>NC_000007.14:93112839-93415869 GCF_000001405.40 Homo sapiens
GATAGGAAGAATCAATATCATGAAAATGGCCATACTGCTCAAGGTAATTTATAGATTCAATGCCATCCCCATCAAGCTACCAATGACTTTCTTCACAGAATTGGAAAAAACTACTTTAAAGTTCATATGGAACCAAAAAAGAGCCCGCGTTGCCAAGTCAATCCCAAGCCAAAAGAACAAAGCTGGAGGCATCATGCTACCTGATTTCAAACTATACTACAAGGCTACAGTAACCAAAACAGCATGGTACTGGTACCAAAACAGAGATATAGACCAATGGAACAGAACAGAGTCCTCAGAAATAATACCACACATCTACAACCATCTGATCTTTGACAAACCTGACAAAAACAAGCAATGGGGAAAGGATTCCCTATTTGATAAATGGTGCTGGGAAAACTGGCTAGCCATATATAGAAAGCTGAAACTGGATCCCTTCCTTACACCTCATACAAAAATTAATTCAAGATGGATTAAAGACTTAAACGTTAGAGCTAAAACCATAAAAACCCTAGAAGGAAACCTAGGCAATACCATTCAGGACATAGGCATGGGCAAGGACTTCATGACTAAAACACCAAAAGCAATGGCAACAAAACCAAAATTGACAAATGGGATCTAGTTAAACTAAAGCACTTCTGCACAGCAAAAGAAACTATCATCAGAGTGAACAGGCAACCTACAGAATGGGAGAAAATTTTTACAATCTACCCATCTGACAAAGGGCTAATATCCGGAATCTATGAAGAACTTAAATTTACAAAAAGAAATCAAGCAACCCCATCAAAAAGTGGGCAAAAGATGAACAGACACTTCTCAAAAGAAGACATTTATGCAGCCAACAGACACATGAAAAAATGTTCATCATCACTGGCCACCAGAGAAATGCAACTCAAAACCACAATGAGATACCATCTCACACCAGTTAGAATGGGGGATCATTAAAAAGTCAGGAAACAACAGGTGCTGGAGAGGATGTGGAAAAATAGGGACACTTTTACACTGTTGGTGGGACTGTAAACTAGTTCAACCATTGTGGAAGACAATGTGGCAATTCCTCAAGGATCTAGAACTAGAAATACCATTTGACCCAGCCATCCCATTACTGGGTATATACCCAAAGGATTATAAATCATGCTGCTATAAAGACACATGCACACGTATGTTTATTGCGGCACTATTCACAATAGCAAAGACTTGGAACCAACCCAAATGTCCATCATTGATAGACTGGATTAAGAAAATGTGGCACATATACACCATGGAATACTATGCAGCCTTAAAAAAGGATGAGTTCATGTCCTTTGTAGGGACATGGATGAAGCTGGAAACCATCATTCTGAGCAAAGTGTTGCCAAGGACAGAAAGTCAAACACCACATGTTCTCACTCACAGGTGGGAACTGAACAATGAGAACACTGGGACACAGGTTGGGGAACATCACACACTGGGGCCTGTTGTGGGGTGGGGGAGGGGGGAGGGATAGCATTAGGAGATATACCTAATGTAAATGACAAGTTAATGGGTGCAGCACACCAACATGGCACATGTATACATATGTAACAAAGCTGCACGTTGTGCACATGTACCCTAGAACTTAAAGTATAGTTTTTTAAAAAAGGAGGAATGACTGAAAATCATGAACCTAATGCCAGTTTAATAAATTGAAAGAAGAATAACAGAATAAAACTGAAATAAGAAGAATGAGAAAAATAAAGATAAGAGCAGGAATTTATAAAGTGGAAAACAAAATGACAAGAGAGACTCAGTGAAGTCCAAGAGCTGTTTAGATAAAAAGTAATAAAATTGACACATCCATGGAATGATTAACCAAAAAATAAAAAAGAAAGGTGGCACAAATAAGCAATATTAGAAACTTTAAAAATGAACCAACTTTAACTGAATAAATTGAAAACTGAGATTAATTGAGCAAATTCTTAAAAAATATAGCTTACCAAACTGACTCTAGAAGAAACCGAAGAAGTCTCACTTCCAGGGTGATGTAGGAGATCACAAAAGGCCACCTATTCACCCACTGCAACCATGAGATCAAAATCTGAAAAATTGCAAAACTCATATTTTTAAGTAATCACAAAGTCATCAATAGACCAGATGACAAGGACTGGATGAACTAAAATTCCAGAGAGGAAAGATCCCTGTCTATGTAAGCTTTGGGGGCATTTGTTGATTTGGGGTTGGGTTTAAGGATTAGACTTGGCCTACCGGGAGGAGGAAAACCAGTGGGGATTTTCATAGTCACAGGGGCGGGTCTAATGAAGTGCAATTAGAAGTGTTCCAAAATGTTTACCGTAATGGAAATGCAAAGTAAAATTACAACAAGATAATACTACATGCCTACCAGAATGGCTAAAATTAAAGACTGTTAATGCCAAATGTTGGTGATGATGTGGAGTCAGTGGAGCTCTCATATGCTGTCTGTGGGAATGTACATTGTTTTAGCCACTTCAAGAAACTATCAGTTTTTGTGAAGTTAAATATATACCTACTCTTTGGATCTGCAATTCTCATGAAAATTATTAAAGTACTGATACAGGCAACAACATGAATGAATATCACATCATACTGTGTGAAAGAAGCCAGTTACAACAGAAAACATATTGTAGAATTCTACTTATATAGTTTAAGAATAGGCAAAAGTAATCTGTCATAGAAGTCAGACTGATGTTGGGGGGTGGATATTTTCTGGGAAGGGGTGATGGAAATATTTTATATCTTGATATGGCTAGCGGTTGCACAGATAAGTACATATTAAAATTTCATAAAGGCTTACCCTTAAGTTTGTTCATTGTATACAAGTTATACTGTATTTAAAAAGCCAATAATGCCTCCAAAATACATTAGAAAATAAAACGGATGAATAAAATAAAAGAGATACTTGCATAAAAAAGATGATGGTGTGTTATGAATCAAGGATAATTGTGAATTCAATGGTATGTGAGGTCCTAAAGTTTTACTAGGTGTTTATTATTGCAGTCTCAGATTATGAACTTTTGACTTCTGCATCCCACTCAGTGTTGATTCAATACTGGTTTTAGAGTTGTCTAAAAACTGACTACACCCTCGTCTAGTAACCATTCTATCTGAGTCACTTTCTTGTATCCATTTACTGAGTCACGTCTACTCCACCCTATGAAAGTATGCTCACTTTTGTTGCACCCACACTATTTAACACATAAAGCAGGGGTCCCCGATTATTGTGCTGCTAGCGTGCGCTGGCTCCTGAGGCCTCATACCTATGGCTCTCATCCCCCATCTCGCCGCTTCCCACCAGTACCCTTTTCCTAGGGTCTCCCTGACTTCCTTCATCAACTTGGACCTTTCACAGTTTTACAGACACAGTCCTTAGTCTCTGGTGATATGTCATAAACTAGATTATGAGACTGGTGAATTAGATGGATTATTTGATTCATGCAAGAACTACATACCATTATATGTGAAAACGTAAAGTCAGGTTCTCATATAAGAGTGTGGGGGATGGAGAACTGGGCCTGAACATTTGGTTGGGAAAGTAAGCAAATAATAAAGAAGTGACTTTTGACTGTTTTCTCTACTAGAGACACTATGAATATTTCAAATGTCATTGAACAGGTTACACTTTCACACTTCTTCCCCTAAAGCTTTTGTCAGATTATTGATAGCTGTGCCTTTCAATACATTATTTTAAAAAAATTGTTGATGATGTCACTCTTGGAGAAAATATATGCCAGCATTCATAGGTATTTATGCCACTGTTCATAGATATTTTACATATTAATGATTTCTTTATACCCTCTCGTTCCAAAATGTTTTTTAGGTAATTTAGAAAGTAATATAGGATCACACATATATTAAAACCCTTAGGTAAAGAAATCATGGGGAAGGCTAAATAAGGGTAGGGGGAGAAAAGGTGAAATGAGGGAGTAAAATTAGTACCTAAAATTACTGGTTTTGATTCCGTATACTTTAAAAACTGACCTGAAAATTTGGTTCTGAGCATCTTAGTAGGAAACACTATTTGTTACTGATTGAACCCACATACATTTTTTAACTCTGGTTGGTGTTAAACTGTAGGGTTTGTTAACTTTTCTAGAAGGGAGTTGAAGGTCAGACCTTTATTCAGAAATGTGATCCTCCAACCGTCTTGCATTATCTTACTGTTTGCTTTGGGGAGAAATTAGACATAAACCTAGTATTTTTGCCAGGAACATAAAGCTGCCTTAATTCCAAAGACTTCCCATAGTAGTCTATCTGTCTGTCTGTCTTCCTATGTATGTCATCCGACAACAATATCTGAGAAGCTCTCAGAGAGTTTTGTTTTCTGGAAGCTACCTATTTCTTAGAGTAGATGGTGGAAGTTGTATTTGATTAAAGTAAAGTACTTTTAAGTTTTCATTGCCTGTTCTTTATCTATCTTTCCGTTTGTTGTTGTTGTTGTTGTTGTTGTTGTTGTTGTTTTTGAGACAGTGTCTCACTCTGTTGCCTATGCTGGAGTGCAGTGGTACAATTACAGCTCACTGTAACCTTAAATTCCTGGGCTCAAGCAATCCTTCTGCCTCAGCCTCCAAAGTAGCTAGACTGCAGCTGCGTGCCACCACATCCAGCTATTTTTTTTTTTGGTAGGAATCTTGCTAGGTAGGGTCTTGCTATGTTGCCCAAGCTAATTTTGAATTCCTGGCCTCAAACAATTCTCCTGTCCTTGCCTTCCAAAGTGCTCAAATTACAGGCTACCACACCTGGCCTGTTTGTTCTTTCTGAAGATGCTGTATGCCTTGGGAGAGTTCATCAATAAAAGTGTCTGTAGTTTTCAACTGCATCTTTAATGAAATGTTATGACTAATTTTTCAACTAATATAAAGCAGACTGCTGTCAGAGCAACAAATAGTCTAGAATTTCTAGGCTTAGAATACTATTTTTTGTTTTGAGGTATATTTGAAGCTTCTAATTGAAAAGTATATTTCTTTCTATTCAATAAAATGCTGCTATAGATAGTAAGAACAATATTAATAATAGATATTGTACTTACCCAGTAGTCTTGCAAATTTCTTTTACATATATGTGGGGAAAACCATCTCTTTTAGTGCTGAAAATATCTGATGTGTTTGTTTTCTTCCTCCTACGATGCTAGAGAAAAGTATTTTCCTCATTCTGGTTTTAACGGAAGTCTATGTATTCTCTGCTTCTGTCTCACAGCAAGCTCTAATTGGCTCAGAAACAGCAGGGCGTGTTTAACAACTGGGAGGTTGGGGAAGGAAGAATATAGGTTTGGTTTCAGTTTCATTTCTCAGATCTGAAATTACAGCACCGCCTTTTCTATCTGAAATGCTTTTTAATAAGCTATGGCTATATACCACCTTCTGGTCTGCTTGGTTAAAATCTGAAGGCTTAACAATTTTTCCTCACTTGAGAGTTTTGAGGGCTGCAGAAAGCCCCATTGTCTTGTTATAGACAAACTGTGGGATATTCTGGCTTAATTGATCCCTTGGGAATATGAGTTTACATTGCAGTCCCAGCCTTGTAGAGCACCAGGTTGGAGATACTCTAGGTCAATATTTCACTGGCCTTTAAGGGTGGAGTTACTGTCCATTCCTGTTTTCCTAAAGTGTAAAGAATGTCTTTCAGGGATAGGACTTCTTTGAGCACCCCAATAAGTGCTAAATTCATTTATTGCAGAGCAGACCAGGGCTGCAGCAGACCTGATGGTCACATTGTAGAGATTTATCTTTTCTAAGGTCAGTGTCAGGGCCAGAGAGAAAACTGCCTGAGTGAGAGCAACAAAAATAGCTGATATTTTAAAAACTAACAGCAAGTACTGATATTTATTGTGTGTGCTCAATTAGCTTTTGGTTTCCACATCCCACAACTGATTCACACTGGTTTTAGATGAAAACATTTAAAAACATTTATTTTAAAATATTTATTGGGCGCTTACCATGTACCAGGCATTGTTCTAAATGTTTCATATTAACTTAATTACTCTTCACAACAATCTCCTGAGGTAGAGATTATTTTTATCTCAATTTTAAAGGTGAAGAAACTGAGGCATAGAGATTAAATAATATGGCTAAAGTTTGCATAACTAATACATGGCAGAGATTCGAATCCAGGTTTCAGGCCAGTGCTCTTAAATCCTGAGGTTTAGGAAGAAAGAAAGTGGCTATGAAGGACAGCCTAGATATGACCATTACACTTATCACCCTCAGGAGCCCTCCTCGTAAGGGGACCCTGGGCCTGAACTCCAAAACCTGGGTTTCACTTTGCATGGGGACCAGTGTGATGGTTAATTTTATGGGTCAACTTGACCGGGCCACAGAGTGCCTAGATATTTGGTCAAACATTATTCTGGTGGTTCTGTGAGGGTGAGGAGGCAGGACTAGCTTGCAGCTCCTGCTGGGACAGACAGGACAGCATGTGGAGACTCACATCATGAACTTTTGCTTCAAGAATTACTGCAGCAACATACCAGGAAAGCCAAGAGAATTCACAGACCCTTTGAAGGAACTGTATCGCCACTGCAGTTTCTCTGAGATGCCAAAAAGAAAAGTCATGAGTCTGCTTGCTTTCTCAGCAGGGAGGCTGATAGCCAGGGGCAAGTTCTCAGCCCTGGTCACCGACTGCCTGGAAATAGATTCGATGTTGTTGGCAGGGGCACAGTGGGAGTGAGACTGGCCTTTAGGAGTGTGGGTTGTGTGGAAATGGGGTGAGGCCTGTGACTGCTGGCTTTTCCCCACTTCCCTGGTGTCCTATGTCACTCAGTGGAGACAGCCATAATCCCCCTGGGAACATAACTCCATTGGCCTGGGAACCACACCCCCGCCCCCTACAGCAAGTGCAGCAGACCCCACCCAATAAGAGTCTGAGCTCAGCCACACCTATGCCTGCCCCAACCTGTTGGTCTTTCTTTACCTGCCCTGGTTGCAAGACAAAGGACATATTCTGCCCACTGCCTCAGAAACATGAATATATAACTAGATGACCCTAGGTCAAGTTTGCTTCCTCCCTATAGTACCACAGCTAATGCACTCTTGAAAATGCCACCTCCTGGCTGGAGGCCAACCAACACAAAACCAGAGCATTTAACGAAGATATAACCAAGGACCCTTACAGAGTCCACTTCACTCCCCTGCTACCTCCACTGGAGCAGGTGCTGGTATCCACAGCTGAAAGACCTGAAGATGTATTACATCACAGGACTCTTTGCCGACACTTCCCAGTACCAGTCTGGAGTCCAGTAGCTCTGCTAGATGACTAGGCCCAGAAGAGAAAAAACAATCACTGCAGTTTGGCTCCCAGGAAGCCCCATCCCTAGAGGAAGTGGGAGAACACTACATCAAGGGAGCACCCTGTGGGACAAAAGAATCTGAATAGTAGCCCTTGAGTCCCAGATCTTCCCCCTGACACAGTCACCCAAATGAGAAGGAACCAGAAAAACAATTCTGGTAATATGAAAAAACAAGGTTCTTGAACACCCCCAAAATACCACACCAGCTCACCAACAATATATCCAAACCAAGACAAAATCTCTGAATTGCCAGGAAAATAATTCAGAAGGTTTATTATTAAGCTAATCAAAAAGGCACTAGAGAAAGGTGAATTCTAACTTAAAGAAATAACAAACATGATACAGGATATGAAAGGAAAATTCCTCAGTGAAATAGATAGCATACATAAAAAACAATCACAATTTCTGGAAATGAAGAACACAATTAGAGAAATAACAAATGCACTGGAGGTGGTTGGCAAGATGGCCAAATAGGAACAGCTTCGATCTGCAGCTCCCAGTGAGATCAATGCAAAAGGCGGGTGATTTCTGCATTTCCAACTGAGGTACCGGGCTCATCTCATTGGGACTGGTTAGACAGTGGGTGCAGCCCATGGAGGGTGAGCTGAAGCTGGGTGGGGCATCTCCTCACCCAGGAAACACAAGAGGTTGGGGAACTCCCTCCTGTAGTCAAGGGAAGCTGTGAGGGACTGTGCCATGAGGAACGGTGCATTCTGGCCCACCCACATATTACACTTTTCCCATGGTCTTCACAAGCTGCAGACTGGGAGATTCCCTTGGAGGCCTACACCACAAGGGCCCAGGGTTTCAAGCACAAAACTGGGTGGCCATTTGGGTAGACACTGAGTTAGCTGCAGGAGTTTTTTTTTTTAATACCCTAGTGGTGCCTAGAACACCAGCAAGACAGAACTGTTCACTCCCCTGAAAAGGGGGCTGAAGCCAGGGAGCCAAGTGGTCTAGCTCAGCGGATCCCACCCCCACGTGCCAGGTCTGTCCTGCAGACCCTGGCCGAGCGATGGATCTAAGGGGTACTCAGACACAGGTATGCGTGTAAGAGCAGCTAGGGATCTGCCTGGCTTTAGTGGCCGAAGTGCAGCAGCCCTGAGAAGCTGGAGCTGCTTGCTTTTATTCAGTGCAGGCACAATGTCGAAAACCTGGAGCAAACACAACCTGAAGGTTACTAACATTTATTGTTCCCCTTTCAGGAAATGTCATACACGTGGATGATCAAAGGTCAGTTCCTTGTCAATATAAGTAAAGGAACCTGTTTAAGATAAATTCCCCTATACTCACTTGTACCTACTCCTTGCCCTCTGCCTCAGGGATATAGAACAGCTGCCTTCAGCTATTCTCCCCTGGACCTTCTGACCTTTCAGAAGTTCTGCTCCTTTCCCTATTGTTTCTCCCACCACTCTGACTGATCTCCTACACCCATGGAACCCAGCAAGCCAAGATCCACTGGCTTGAAATTCTCGCTGCAAGCACAGCAATCTGAAATTGACCTGTGATGCTAGAGCTTGGTAGGGAGAGTGGTGTCTGCCATTACTGAGGCTTGAGTAGGCTGTTTTCCCCTCACAGTGTAAACAAAGCCACCAGGAAGTTCAAATTGGATGGAGCCCACCGCAGCTCGACAAAGCTGCTGTAGCCACACTGCCTCTCTAGATTTCTCCTTTCTGGGCAGGGCATCTCTGAAAGAAAGATAGCAGCCCCAGTCAGGGTCTTATAGATAAAACTCCCATCTCCCTGGGACAGAGCACCTGGGGGAAAGGGTGGCTGGGGCACAGCTTCAGCAGACTTAAGCGTTCCTGCCTGCCATCTCTGAAGAGAGGAGCAGATCTCCCAGAACAGCGCTAGAACTCTATTAAGGGACAGACTGCAGACTACCTCCTCAAGTGGGTCCCTGACCCCTGTGCCTCCTGACTGGGAGACACCTCCCAGCAGTGGTTGACAGATACCTCATACAGGAGAGCTCCAGCTGGCATCTGGCAGGTGCCCCTCTGGGACAAAGCTTCCAGAGGAAGGAGAAGGCAGCAATCTTTGCTGTTCTGTAGCCTCCACTGGTGATATCTAGGCAAACATGGTCTGGAGTGGACCTTCAGCAAATTCCAGCAGACCTACAGCAGAGGGGCTTGACTGTCAGAAGGAAAACTAACAAACAGATAGGAATAGCATCAACATCAACAAAAAGGACGTCAACACAAAAACCCCATCCGAAGGTCACCAATGTCAAAGACCAAAGGTAGATAAATCCATGAAGATGGGGAGAAACCAGTACAAAAATGCTGAAAATTCCAAAAACCAGAATGCCTCTTCTACTCCAAAGGATCACAAGTCCTCAACAGCAAGGGAAGAAGATGACAGGGAGAATGAGTTTGATGAATTGACAGAAGTAGGTTTCAGAAGGTGGCTAATAACAAACTCCTCTGAGCTAAAGGGGCATGTTCTAACCCAGTGCAAGGAAGCCAAGAACCTTGAAAAAAGATTAGAGGAATGGCTAACTAGAATAAGCAGTGTAGAGAAGAACACAAATGACCTGATGGAACTGAAAAACAGACCATGAGAACTTCGTGAAGCACACACAAGTATCAATAGCTGAATCAATCCAGTGGAAGAAGGGATATCACAGATTGAAGATCAACTTAATGAAATAAAGCATGAAGACAAGATTAGAGAAAAAAGAATGAAAAGGAAGGAACAAAGCCTCCAAGAAATATGGGATTATGTGAAAACACCAAAATCTACATTTTATTGGTGTACCTAAAAGTGACAGGGAGAATGGAACCAAGTTGGAAAACACTCTTCAGGATATTATCTGAACCTTCCCAAACTAGCAAGACAGGCCAACATTCAAATTCAGGAAATACAGAGAACATCACAAAGATACTCCTTGAAAAGAGCAACCCCAAGACACATACATCAGATTCACCAAGGTTGAAATGAAGGAAAAAATGTTAAGGGCAGCCAGAGAGAAAGGTCAGGTTACCCACAAAGAGAAGCCAATTAGACTAAAAGCAGAACTCTCTGCAGAATTCCTACAAGCCAGAAGAGAGTGGGGGCCAATATTCAACATTCTTAAAGAAAAGAATTTTCAACCCAGAATTTCATATCCAGCCAAACTAAGCTTCATAAGTGAAGGAGAAATACAATCCTTTACATAAAAGCAAATGCTGAGAGATTTTGTCAACACCAGGCCTGCTTTACAAGAGTTCCTGAAGGAAGCACTAAATATGGAAAGGAAAAACTGGCACCAGTCATTGCAAAAACATACCAAATTGTAAAGACCGTTGACAGTAAGAAGAAACTGTATCAACTAAAAGGCAAAATAACCATCTAGCATTATAATGACAGTATCAAAATTATACATAACAATATTAGCCTTAAATGTAAATGGACTAAAAGCCCCAATTAGAAGACACAGACTGGCAAATTGGATAAAGAGTCAAGACATATAGGTGTGCTGTATTCAGGAGACCCATCTCACATGCAAAGACCCACATAGGCTCAAAATAAAGGATCGGAGGAATATTTACCAAGCAAATGGAAAGAAAAAAAAAAGCACATGTTGCAATCCCAGTCTCTGATAAAACAACTTTAAACCAACAAAGATCAAAAAAGACAAAGACGGACATTACGTAATGGTAAAGGGATCAAATGCAACAAGAAGAGCTAACTATCCTAACTATATATGCACCCAATACAGGAGCACTAAAATTCATAAAGCAAGTTTTTAGAGACCTACAAAGAGACTTAGACTCCCACACAATAATAATGGGTGACTTAAACACCCCATTCTCAATATTAGACAGATCAATGAATCAGAAAATTAACAAGGAAATTCAGGGCTTGAACTCAGCTCTGAACCAAGCAGACCTAATAGACAGTTACAGAACTCTCTAACACAAATCAACAGCCATTCTTCTCAGTACCACATCACACTTATTCTAAAATTGACCACATAATTGGAAGTAAAACACTCCTCAGCAAATGCAAAAGAACAGAGATAATAACAAAAAGTCTCTCAGACCAGAGTGCAATCAAATTAGAACTCAAGATTAAGAAATTGACTCAAAACCACACAACTACATGGAAATTAAACAACCTGCTTCTGAATGACTACTGGGTGAATAACAATATTAAGGCGGAAATAAATAACTTCTCTGAAACCAATGAGAACAAAGACACAACATACCAGAAACTCTGAGACACAGCTAAAGAAGCGTTTAAAAGGAAATTTTTAGCACTAAATTCCCACAGGGGAAAGTGGGAAAGATCTAAAATTGACACCGAACATCACAATTAAAAGAACTAGAGAAGCAAGAGCAAACAAATTCAAGAGCTAGCAGAAGACAAGAAATAATTAAGATCAGAGCAGAACTGAAGGAGATAGAGACACAAAAAGCCCTTTAGAGAATCAATGAATCCAGGACCGTTTTTTTGAAAAGATTAACAAAATAGACCACTAGCCAGACTAAAACGAAGAAAACAGAGAAGAATCAAATAGACACAATAAAAAAGAGATAAAGGGGATACCATCACTGATTCCACAGAAATACAAACTACCATCAGAGAATACTATAAACACCTCTATGCAAATAAACTAGAAAATCTAGAAGAACTGGATGAATTCCTGGACAGAAACACCCTCCCAAGACTAAACCAGAAAGAAGTTGAATCCCTGAATAGACCAATAACAATTTCTGAAATTGAGGCAGTAATTAATAGCCTACCAACCAAAAAAAGCCCAGGACCAGACAGATTCACAGCCAAATTCTACCAGAGGTACAAAGAGGAGCTGGTACCATTTCTTATGTAACTATTCCAATCAATAGAAAAAGAGGGAATCCTTCCTGACTCATTTTATGAGGCCAACATCATCCTGATACCAAAACCTGACAGAGACACAACAAAAAAAAAGAAAATTTCAGGCCAATATCCCTGATGAACATTGATGCGAAAATCTTTGATAAAATGCAAACCAAATCCAGCAGCACATCGAAAAGCTTATCCACCACGATCAAGTCAACTTCATCCCTGAGATGCAAGGCTAGTTCAATATATGCAAATCAATAAATGTAATCCATCACATAAACAAAAGCAATGACAAAAACCACATGATTATCTCAATAGATACAGAAAAGGCCTTTGATAAAATTCAACACCCATTCATACTAAAAACTCCCAATAAGCTAGGTATTGATGGAATGTATCTCAAAATAATAAGAGCTATTTATGACAAACCCAGAGCCAATATCATACTGAATAGGCAAAAGCTGGAAGCATTTGCTTTGAAAACTGGCACAAGACAAGGATGCCCTCTCTCACCACTTCTATTCAACATAGTATTGGAAGTTCTGGTCAGGGCAATCAGGAAAGAGAAAGAAATAAAGGATGTTCAAATAGGAATAGAGGAAGTCAAATTGTCTCTGTTTGCAGATGACATGATTGTATATTTAGAAAACCCCATCGTCTCAGCCCAAAGTCTCCTTAAACTGAAAAGCAACTTTAGCAGTCTCAGTATACAAAATCAATGTGCAAAAATCACAAGCATTCCTATACACCAATAATAGACAAACAGAGAGCCAAATCATGAGTGAACTCCCATTCACAATTGCTACAAAGAGAATAAAATACCTAGGAATCCAACTTACAAGGGATGTGAAGGACCTCTTCAAGGAGAACTACAAACCACTGCTCAAGGGAATAAGAGAGGACACAAACAAATGGAAAAGCATTCCATGCTCATGGATAGGAAGAATCAGTATCGTGAAAATGGCCATACTGCCCAAAGTAATTTATAGATTCAATGCTATCCCCATCAAGCTACCATTGACTTTCTTCACAGAATTACTAAAAACTACATTAAATTTCACACGAAACCAAAAAAGGGCCTGTATAGCCAAGACAGTCCTAAGCAAAAAGAACAAAGCTGGAGGCATCACACTACCTGACTTCAAACTATACTACAGTGTAGGCTACAGTAACCAAAACAGCATGGTACTGGTACCAAAACAGAGATATAGATATGTTCCATTCCATACAATGGAACAGAACAGAGGCCTCAGAAATAATGCCACACATCTACAACCATCTGACCTTTGACAAACCTGACAAAAACAAAAACAAGCAATGAGGAAAGGTTTCCCTATGTAATAAATGGTGTTGGGAAAACTTGCTAGCCATATGCAGAAAACTGAAACTGGACCCCTTCCTTATGCCTTGTACAAAAATTAACTGAAGATGGATTAAAGACTTAAACATAAGACCTAAAATCATAAAAACCCTAGAAGAAAACTAGGCAATAGCATTCAGGGCATAGGCATGGGCAAAGATTTCATTTCTAAAACACCAAAAGCAATGGCAACAAAACCAAAATTGACAAATGGGATCTAATTAAAGTAAAGAGCTTTGCACAGCAAAATAAACTGTCATCGGAGCGAACAGGCAACATACAGAATGGGAGAAAAGTTTTGCAATCTATCCATCTGACAAAGGGCTAATATCTACAATCTACAAGGAACTTAAACAAATTTACAAGAAAAAAACAAACAACCCAATCAAAAAGTGGGTGAAGTATATGAACAGACATTTCTCAAAAGAAGACATTTATGTGTCCAACAAACATATGAAAAAAAGCTCATAATTGCTGGTCATTAGAGAAATGCAAATCCAAACCACAATGAGATACCATCTCACAACAGTTAGAATGGTGATCATTAAAAAGAAAGGAAACAACAGATGCTGGAGAGGATGTGGAGAAATAGGAACACTTTTACACTGTTGGTGGAGTGTAAATTAGTCAACTATTGTGGAAGACAGTGTGGTGATTCCTCAAGGATCTAGAAGCAGAAATACCATTTGACCCTGCAATATACCCTGGGTATATACCCAAAGAATTATAAATCATTCTACTATAAAGACACATGCACACATATGTTTATTGCAGCACTGTTCACAATAGCAAAGACTTGGAATCAACCCAAATGCCCAGCAATGATAGACTGGATTAAAAAAATGTGGCACATACACACCATGGAATACTATGCAGCCATAAAAAAGGATGAGTTCATGTCCTTTGCAGGGACATGGATGAAGCTGGAAACCATCATTCTCAGCAAACTAACAAAGGAACAGAAAACCAAATACCGCATGTTCTCACTAGTAAGTGGGAATTGAACAATGAGAACATATGGACACAGGGAAGGGAACACCACTTGGGGCCTGTTGATGGGTGGAAGGCTAGGGGAGGGATAGCATTAGGAAAAAAACCTAATGTAGATGATGGGTTGATGAGTGCAGCAAACCATCATGGCATGTGTATACCTGCGCAACAAACCTGCATATTCTGCACATGTATCCAGAACTTAAAGTATTATAAAGAAAAAAAGAAAAAATTTGAAAAAATGTTGCTGATCCTTTGTCTTGTTTTTCAGAGTCAAGGAAACTTTTATTTTGAGCTATTGACAGCTTTTTACAAATAAGTATACTCCTATGAACAAAATTTGGAGCATATTTGTTTCTCTCTACCTTATTTCTCCAGAATTTGGAAACTATTTCTGAGTATTCTTAATTTATGGCAGTATAGTTATTTATGTAAGTGCAATAAGAATTTGTTTTCATTTGTAACAGGACACAATTGGAGAAACTGGTTATTTTACCAAGGCTGTGACTGGAATGACATGCTTTCCTTTAAAGAATCAAACTTGCCCTAAAGAGCCAATAAAAGATTTTTGGGAAAACTGGCCTTATACCTTGTCTACACAGTCCCTGCACAGGGTTCCTGACCTGTGGTAAATAAAGAATGACACTTTATGACAGGCCCAGGGCCCCAAGTTATCTTGGGACCTCAAGGGGAGAAGAATTCACCCAACTCATAGGTATTTGATGGTATAAAACATGGCTGGGCAGTTTGAGGCAGGAGAATCACTTGAACCCAGTTGGCAGAGGTTGCAGTGAGCTGAGATTGCACCATTGCACTCCAGCCTGGGTGACAGAGCGAGACTCCATCGCAAAAAAAAAAAAACCCAAAAACAAAAAATAAAGGCTGATCTGAGATGCCTTCTATGGAACAAAGTTCCATCAAAGCCAATTTAAAAAGCCTATGTGAAAAATAATTATTCTTGCTGCACTTTATACAAATAATCTGGCTAAGTGCAACAAAGCAAATCGGTCCTACCATGATGTGTCTTTAGTAAAAATGGGAAACTGGAGAGAGAAAAATTATGTTTCAAAAACTATGGTACATCTGTTGTTGGATTCTAGTCTTGCCTAATATTTTTCAATTTTTATTATTTTCTACAGTTTGGGCTGAATTCTAATGTTTCTTGGGTACAAGTTTTCAAAATAATGTTTTCATTTTTTTCCCTTCTTTTTCCCCCCATTTTTCCTCATTTGGAGTCACTGAAAACTAAGTTGTGCTTTTGTAAAGCCCTGTGACCTGATGCTAGATAACTTAAACTTCAAAAGGAAATAACAGCAGCCTATTTACATACATAAGCCACTTTCAAACCTGCCTACTGATATACGGGCTTCAGAGTAATGTGACCTATATCGATTTACCAGGATTGTTCTTTTATATCTTGTAGTTTTTCTCTCTCCCCCTGTTTTCTCTGCATAGGACATGAGACTTCTCAACTTGCTAAAAATAAGCTTTCCTAATAACTTGGGACCTAACTGTCTAGGAATGAACCATTTTAGCCATGAGAGGCCAGATGAAACCTGAGACCAGAGACTCATTTTCTTCTAAAATGCTTTCTCCGAAGATTTTAAAAAAGATAAGGGGGGAAATGTGAAAGGAAAGTAAATCTTGAAAATCTTGGGCCCCCCAAAATCACTAACCTAAAGGGAAAAGTCAAGCTGGGAACTGCTTAGGGCAAACCTGCTTCCCATTCTATTCAAAGTCATCCCTCTGCTCACTGAGGAAAATGCATATCTGATTGCCTTCTTTGGAAAGGTTAATCAGAAACTGAAAAGAATGCAACTGTTTTTCTCTCACCTACCTGTGGCCTGGAAGCTCCCTCCCTTCTTGAGTTGTCCCTCCTTTCTGGACGGAACCAATGTACATCTTACATATATTGATTGATGTCTCATGTCTCCCTAAAATATATAAAACCAAGCTGTGCACCTTGGGAACATGTTATCAGGACCTTCTGAGGCTGTGTCACAGATGTACATCCTCAACCTTGGCAAAATAAACTTTCTAAATTAACTGAGACCTGTCTCAGATTTTTGAGGTTCATAAACTTCTCTGCAGAGTAATGTAAGACCTTCTCCTCATTAAGGGTGGGGTGACATTTTGCATATTACACTATATTTCTTTTCAGGAAGAATGTAATTATTTCTGGGGGCATCAAAGGGTTTGCATCCTACTCTCTAAGTCAAGCATTCACGTTTAGGTGTTGTTGCATTCAGAAGAATGAGAAAAGATCACTCTATAGCATGGCTGTTGAAATGGGGGCTAAGGAGAAGGAAGCTCTCTAAGATACCTGGTGGTGGGGTCAGAATTATTAACTCTAAAGATAATTATGGTTAGCAGGAATATTTAGTAGTTTTTCCTCCTTTCATTATAACTTTTTTCTCTACATCAAGCCTTTAGTTATGTCTTACTAAATGTTATAGTCCAGCAGGGGAGTTTAAAAGAAATAGGATCAGGCCTATGTCCCCAGGCCTATGAACAACTTGGGGAGTATAGCCACTTGGGAGATCCTGTTACTGTATGGACTGGTGGACTGCAGAAGAGGGAGGCAACTGTTTGGAGCAGGGTCAGCAGCAGACACAGCTTTCAGAAAGAGGGACATGTTCTGGACCATGTGAGCGTTGCCCAGATTCATAGAAATATAGGCCAGAAGAACCCTGATAGAGCATAGACTTCTTGATGACAAGAAGAATTGGGTTTGGAGTCCAGAATATCTAAGTTACATTACAAAGAGATACAAAGATGTGGATAAATAAATATATTTTTTATTCAATATTCAATTTAATCTATATTAGCCTATGTTTCACTTTATAGGCAATGCGTAGTTCTTAAATTCCAAGCTCTAGAATGCTGCTTGAGACTGTTCTGGCTGTTGTGCATCTGAGAATGAGCTTCTGGGATGGCATTCCTTGACACTGAAAACTTGAGAACACATATTACCATGAGGAAGCCCTCTAATCAGGCAGGAATGATGGTGGTCAAGGAAGACTTCCTGGTGAAGGTGACTCTTGAAATCAGTTGTGAATGACAAATCAGAATAGCAGGAGAGAGAATGTTAGATGGAAATAAGGCAATCTCAACAGAGAGAACAGCATGTATATAGCACAGGTTGAGAAGTAAAGGGAACAAAGAGGGTAATGAATGGAAAAAATAAGCCAGGGGAGATGGGATCTAAGAAACAGGTGGAGATAAGGCTGTATTCACAGGAGACAAAAATGGCTTAAAGGAAGAGATTCACCTGTAAATGGGAACAAGAGAATGGAGAGAGTTCAAGTTTATGATTACTTTATTTTTTGAACTCTTCTCTCTCCTGGAGCAATGAGCTGGGAGAAGGGCAAGGGGTACAAGGAGTGTGTGTGTGTGTGTGTGTGTGTGTGTGTGTGTGTGTGTGTGTTGGGGAGAGTGTTATGTGGTGGATGGGGAACAATATATTTACCTTCCACATAAGTTTTTATTGATACCAAGATGAGGTAAATAGAACTCTGGTGTGGATCTGTGGGTTTGAGTCCAATAAGCTTTCTCTTTTACATTCATCTTATTTAAATCTTTGCTGTCACAGTGAAGAAATAATTTAGAAAACTTATAAAAGCAATTGAGTTTAACACAGATTTTATTGCCCTATAGACAGTTATGATGTGACCAGTGGATATCAATGAAACTTCTTAATTATTTGAGTCTGAAAATGCATATTTAAAACATTAAAAGATTGACTCCACTTTGTGCCAAGCTCTGCGGGTAGGCATATTTCATATCTTAAAAAGGCTTGTAATTCATTCAGGGAGGCAAAAGCAAAATCTGTAATTAGAGGTTAGCCATAATGTTATGAAAGTGCCATGAGAATAGAGAGAGAGAATAAAATCATAAAGATATAAATAAACGTATTTGAACTACAGGTGATGTATTGTCTTAAATTACTTCTATATCATATGCCAGAGGGCCTTCAATGGAAAATCCTAGGTAGAAAGACACTCTTTCTATGTTCCTACCACTTCTGAGTGGACCTGAATAAACAGATATTACTGGTATTTTTATTTTTTCCTCTGTTCCATATTCTACAGAGATTAGCTTGCCTTCAGCCTGACCAGTTAGACGACGCAGGAGGTCTTTGACTTCATTTTTTTTCCACACATCCCCACTGTGCCAGAGGGAATTTGTATTTTGTGCTTTATCAAAGTACTGCTCTATTTTGGCCTTGTGAACAATACTGTTTAGACCCTTCCTTTTGCCCAGATAGAAAAGTGTGCTTGCCTGCTTGGACCTGCACATGCGCTTGTACTGTCCCCTGAAGGATCTATTTAAGGATGAAACATACTTTTCTATTAGTTTGGAATCTTGATCTAGCTCTTGATTTTCTGGCCAGAACAGGAGGCAGGCCAAGAAATAAGGACCTGGATATTGATGACTTAGTCCTACAAATTGCAAGACCTCTCGGAGTTGTTTTTTTAGCGTGGTAAGTGGTTGAATTAACTTGGAGTTGGGCTTTAGACAACTCAGAATAATGTTGGCCAAAATGGAATTTTGTTTCTCATTTGTCATGGGCTTTTTTGAGTTTTGCTGCAGTAGGAAGGCATATTCATTCACTATACTTTCCATGGTGGTAGCATCTTTGTAGTTTGGATTAAGATATTCCAAGAGTCCAGCAAACCTATCTGCTCTCAGAGCTTCTAGCTTTTTCCTGCAATTCTCCTCCTGGAGTAATTGACTCTCTTTACTTTGTAATAGACATGGATCCAAATGACAGAAAAGTTCTGTGTATTTCCTGAAACAACGACTGACTTTCTTGCTTAACATGATTTCTGCAATTTCTTTTTGGGTATACCTCATTTTCAGAAGAACCATATAATCAATAAAAAAGTCAAAGCACCTTTTCAGATCTGATTGTAAATTTTTTAGGTGGGATGTGAACTTGCTAAGAGCCAAATAACATTCATTTCTGGGATCAGGAGGAATGGTCCACTTTCCTGATAAAAATTGCACCATATGTTTTTTGGATAATTCATTTTCTTTGTGGAAAAAGGGAGTGAGCTGAAGAATCTGGATAGTGTAAAGACCAACTTCTATTTCACCCAAGAAACAAGCTGTGTTATACATGTCATATCGTCTCTGGGACTTCTGTGGTGACCAGTTCTCGGTTTCATAGTTTTTACTATCAGTTTGCCTTTGGGATTCTTTGAAAGCTCTTGAGGCTTTTTCCGCAGCTTCTAGGAGATGTGTTAGGTCATTAACAGTAATGCTCCTACAGTTTTTGTTCCCATCCAACCACCATTTGATTTCACTTTTGTAGACTTGACCTAGTGTATCTGAAATATAGGAATTTTTAGGTGCTTTCATTTTGGCCTGACGTGCCCAGTCCAGAGCTGTGTTAAAGTCCTTCTCTTTAATGTAGAAATGTCTTGCTAAGGCTTGACAAATGAATGCATTTTGTGGGAATCGTCTACTTCCTGCACTCAAGACCTTTTCAATGTCTTTATTCTGTAAAGCTTCCATTAATGGGGAAAACAGAGTGTCTGTTTCATCTCCATACACCTTGCGCTGTCTTGTAAGCAGAAGAGTTTGAACATCATGTTGAAATTTGTCTCTTCCTATTCCAGAATCATAGAATAAATTCTCTTCTAATATATTCAATGCAATTTGACATTTATCCAAGTGATAGCTTCTTTCCAGTTCTTTTAGACAGTACAGGGCAATCAGAGGGTGAATGATACGCACACCTGTGTATCTCCCATATTCTGCAACTTCTGTTTTTATTAGAAGTGTAGAATAAGTTCCCATCTTGTCTTCTAAGCTTTCAGGTTCCCAGGGTGTACTAGTGTATATGATTCCCAAAAATATTTCACACTGTGAAACTGAAATTGTAGAGTCAGTAACATAAGAGCTGAGTAAAGCCAGGAAGGAAATGAGTTGTGCTTCCTTGCTGTCAACATCCTGTCCTTTTAGGATATTCCTGACTACATTTTCTATATATGTTTCATCAAAATTGCTTTTCATGATCATGAAGGAATAAAAGTTTTCACAGTTCTTGTGCTGCTTTTCAATTTCCTTCAGTTTGGCACCAAAAGCTCTTTGTTCCTTGGAAGAAAGTTGGTAATTTAGTGCAATACTGTCTGCCAATTTTGCACTTTCATCTGGATTCCGGGATCTCATGCAGTTTAAGATAATTACCAATGTTTTTTCATATCGCAAATCCTTTTCTGCTAAAACGGAATGGATGGCATTTTGTAGAAAGTAGACATTTTCTTGTTCTTCAAAATCATCCACAAGGAGAAGCACAGGAATGTAATCCTGATGGCTCTTTGCCCTATAGGTGACCAGATTGATCACTTGCTCTGCAATTTCTGCAAAATCAGTTGTCTTGTTTTTTAACACAGCACATCTGAAGTTTTTCTTTAAGTCCCAGAGAACATGCATAGCCAGTGTGGTACCTCCACAGCCTGGATGATGATAAAGATTGATGATTTTTGCAAATATTGGTTTAGGAGACTCTGCCCAGCAGTGTATTAAATCTTTAAGCTTTTCATAACTGTCCCTTTTAACAAAATCTGAAGAATAGTTTTCAGAAGAAAAATAGAAGTTCCACCAGGATACTTTGCCACCTCGATAAAAGTGTTCTTCTTTTGATTTCTTAAACTCCAGGAATTTAGATTTGTCTTTCTCGATGTCTGTCTCTGTACACTCATTTTCACAGAGGATTTCCAGTGCAGTCAAGACATCCTCTTTCTTTTTCTCTAGGATAACTGAAGAAGATCCACGGGCGGGCAAAAACCTTCTTGATGACCGAGTCACCGATTTTAGTTTAAGGATAGTGCTGTTTACCAGTTCTATATTTAAAGTGGAAATACTGTGGTTTGTTAGTTCATCTTCCATCTTCATTCTTGTTTGTAGTAGATCTTTCCATCGTTGATAAATATGTGAGTTTACAGAGATACACAACATATTTTCCATTCCTTTGAGAGCTTGATAGAAAGCCCAGAAAGTTTCAATGAGTGGATCTCCTGGGCTTTCCACTGAAGAGAGTAATAGAAACACTACCAAAAATTTTCCTCTTGTCATTATATTTTCATCTGTGAGAAATAAAATTAGTTTCCTGACTTCTGAAGCTCTTTCTCTCTGCCATAAATGTGGTTCTAGAGGTTTATATGTCTCGCTTTTCAGGTCTGATCTGCCGTTGCAGAAAATCCAGCTGGGCTGTTGGTAAAGATTAAGAGTAGAAATCTTCTCCCACATGTTAGTTGTCTTGTCTTCATATTGATTTGGAAAGTGAAGGTTTGCCACCCGACTTTCTTTGTAAGCTTTGACCACTCCATTGATCATAGATTCAGGATCAAACTCCAACACAGCAAACCATTTAATTTCTTTTAAAAAATCTAAGTGCTTTATTTGGTTTGGATGGCATTTATTTGTTACAAGAATGTACCAGTCATAGTATGAATTATCCAGTGAGTCTCGGTTTCCTATGAGAAGTTTAACCAGCTTTAGTCCTTCACTCTCCTTCTTCATTGCCTTCATTCCATACTCTTCTTCAGCCTCTTTTCTAGATGCTACCAGTGACTTTAAATTTTGTAAAAATGCCTTGAAATCTACATCCCGTTGCTTGGAATTGGCCAGGATATCCCTAGAGCTAGCCCCTTCTCTTACAAACAGTGAAAGATTTTGGTTTTGTTTCCATATTTTATCTTTACAAATTTGCATCTGAATGTAGAAATACTTATCATTACATATAGAGTGTTTTGGAATAGTATCAACTTCAATGACAAATCTGTCAGATGGTGTATTGTTCTGCAGAAGGACTTCCACAAACCTTGGCTCCCGAATACACTTCTTGGCTTCATTGATCTCACTTTCTTCAAAATACTTTTTGATCATTACATTGAAGTGGTCAATGAAGGCAGCCTTACTGGTGATTTTCACACCAACAATTTCTCCATGGGGTTTGTCCTTGACTCCAAAATGGATGGTGCCATTGGTGCGTGAATTCATACAAGCTGATGCAAATCGGAAGACTTCATTGCTGAATTTCATCTTAATGTCCACTTCCGTGGCTGTTTCTGTGTTTGTGAGAGCTTTGAACTCATGTATTGGATCAATGAGATTGAGTGCTCCTGTTTCAGGTTGTAGAGTATAATGTTCTATGTAGCGATGGCTGTCATGGAACTGATCAAAAGGATATGGCATACAAGTCAATTGTTCAGGTTTTAGCTTACCCTTTTTCTTGTGTTTAGCATTTGCTACTTCATCTAACACATTTTCTTTCATAAGAATTGATTCTTCTTGTTTGATATCTCTGATCTCTCTGGGATCATAATCAATATTAGATGACATTGAATTTTCTTCTTCCTTTTTGGTGTGTTTTGGATTTTTCTGGTGTTCTGTTTTGGACGGTTTTGAATTATCTAATTGTCCCGGATCATGATTGTCACTTTCAGGGGACTTACTATTCAATTTGTTGTATGAACGTTTTATCAAAAGTGCTGGACCCCATGGTAGCCCCATTTCTACAAGGTCCTTCTCAGTTAATTCCTGCAGGACTAATCCTGTTACTTCTTCACTGAGCAGAATTTGCCCGTATTGCTCATTAATCTTAAGGTCTTCATTTACCCATTTTTTCACATGCTCTTTGGTCCAGTCTTTAATCATTTCAGGTAGAGATACTTGTTTACTCATATCAAAGCTTCAACTTCTTCCTGAGACAAAGCAATATAATAAGTATTTTAGAATTATACTTTATTTTTAAAATCACATAGACAATTATGTATACATTATCATACAGAAGATACATATATATATGTATAATATTGCTAAAGGCTGACTCTTAAAACTGCTTGATACTTACTTTAGCTATTTTACCATCCTAATTCATACCCTTGTTTCTTAGGTGACTCTAATTGTAATTATGAAATAAGCTATAGCTGCTAACTGGTGACACACCTTTTAGCCTTATAATAATTCTCCCTTTTAGCTTAACTTGGTGAAAGTTGGGGTTTTGTGACTTAAAAGCAGAATCTTAAGTAACATAGAAATTGGTTTCCGTAGCATATAGGAATATTGCAAATAAACTTTAAAATAATGAAACTGGATAGGTAGAAGTGGGTTGAGGAACAGGAATCCACAGCTGGCTATCTTTGTTACATAGTAACAGAGCAGTTGGTTAAATAATCTGTTTTCTTTTGGAACTCAAGCTGTTAGGCCACAAGGCTAGGGTTTGGGGGAATGTGGTAGCAAAATGTCAGGATAATTGATTTGATTGGCTAATTCTTGTGTTCTCAGAAGGTACCAAAAGAGACTAGCTATAATTCAAGCTGGGCTCCCTGAAACTAGATAGGGAAAATAGTATGAGTTTTTAATTTTGTTAGAGCCATTTTCACCTAAATTATTGATATGAGGCTAATGAAGATCCTACAACTATGTACTTTGATGAATGGCAAGAGCTGCCTATTTTGGACTCCTAGAACAGGGGTTCTTAACCTTGGTTAAACATTAGAATTACTTGGCATTCCACACCTGAGACTGCATTAGTTGGTTGAGGGAGTGAGGGTGGTGTTTTCAGGCATTAGTACTTCTAAACATTTGCCTTGGTGCATCTACTGTGCAGACAAGACCAACAGCAGTGGTTCTTAAGGTGTGGTCTCCAAACTAGCAGCATCAGCATCACTTAGAAGCTGGCTAGAAATGTAAATTCTCAGGCCCCCACTTAGACCTACTGAATCAGAATTTAAAAGATAAATCAATTAATTGGTTTAAGTAAACAGAAAATCAGAAAGAATATTTTACGGACAGACAAAAAAAACATTAAGGATCAAATGAAACAAAAACACTAAACTATAAAAAGATAAAATACAAGCATTTTAAACTAGGGGTCTCCAAATCTGGGGACCTGGACCAGTACCAGTCTCTAGCCTGTTAGAAACTGGGCTGCACAGCAAGAGGTGACTGGCTGATGGGTGAGCTGGCAAAGCTTCATCTGTATTTACAGCCTCTCACCATATCTTGCATTACTGCCTGAGCTCCACATCCCATCAGATCAGTGGTGGCATTAGTTTCTCATAGGAGTGAAAACCTTGTTGTGAACTGTGCATATAAGGGATCCAGGCTGCACACTCCTTATGAGAATCTAATGCCTGATGATCAGTCACTCTGTCCCATCACCCCAAATGGGACCATCTAGTTGCAGGAAAACAAGCTCAGGGCTCCCACTGAGTCTACATTATGGTGAGTTGTATAATAATTTCATTATATTTTACAATGTAATAATAATAGAAATAAAGTGCACACAAAATGTAATGCCCTTGAATAAACTCAAAACCATCCCCCACTACCCTGTGGAAAAATTGTCTCCCATGAAGCTGGTCCCTGGTTCCAAAAAGATTGGGGACTGCTGTTTTAAATGATTTGTAATTTTTAGGTTCCTTAGGTTTAAGGAACCTAAGTTTTTTTTTTTTTTTTTTTTTTAATTTAATGTACATCCAGTCACAAAGTCTAGCCAAACTGCAAATTTGAACCATCTGTGCTTGGAGCTTCTTGGAAAAGTTCACCAGAAAGTCCCCTTGAAGTTATGTATGGAGAATAAGCTAAACTGGGGCTTCAGCTTGCAGCCCTGTGATTGGCCACAGAGGAAACTTGCACTACACATTTATGGTGTGAATACCATATTTGCACCAGGATGATTTACCCCATCTATAGGCATGCAACCACTGAGCCTAGCAGCTTCCACTTGCCTTGGTAAAACTGTTCCTGGTTGTCTTAGTGCCTTGAATTCTCTTACTTACTCTGGCTTCAGTCTGCAGATCACAACTAGTCCTGGGCCAATTAGCAGAACCATGAGCAACTGGCACAATGAACGCTATAAACGTATTTTAGATGATCAATTCAGTTCATCTGTAGTGTAGACAGAAGTCACTTGTGGGTCTTAAGGAGTCCCACAAAAATTAGCCCATATATTGTAACTAGCGATAAGTGTTATTTATCTTAAGTAGTGTCATCTGTTCATTCATTCTACACATATTTAATGAGCACCAATTATGTACCAGGCATCATGCTCAGGAAAAACAGTGATAATCAAAACAGATGTGAAGCTCGTTCATGACATTTATTGTCCATTGGAGAAGATAAAAAAAGGAAATAAGTCACACACACACACACACACTCAGAAAAGTTTGTACTGACAAAGTGTGGTAGTGCTTTTTGTCAGACACAAGAAGGAGTCTAGGCCTAGGATATATGAGGAAGAAGAGAGTGGGAACATTGGGCAGGTGAAGTTAAGGGAACTGCTGGAGTCATGTGGGAGGCAATTGAGGGAGAAAGCCTGGGGGACAGAGTTAGGGAATAAGAAATAGTCTACTTGGTGGACCTGCCAAAGGCCCCTTTAGTGGGTCTAAGGGGTATGACATAGCGCTGTTCCAGCAGTGGGCAGCTCCTACTCTTGCACCCAGAGCCAGGGCACTGGGCCTGCCATAGAGTACTCCAGGGCAGATGGAGCTTGGGAGCCCGGTAGGCTCATCCCTGATATTCCCATCTCTCTGCCGAGGCCCTAAGTGTCATCTCAGGTAAGACCGACAGAGGGGCCCTGCCTCACCTTTTTACAAGCATTATATAAAACCAATAGTATAAGCAGTTATTAATAAACATATCCTTAATGAAAACTTTTTTGAAGTCATTACATATGAGATAACTACCATAGTATTTTAAATCTTAGTCTTAAGATATTTCATACTTTGAAAATTTGCTGAATACTTACTTTTTATATATTTTATACAGTTTTTAGACATTTTAATATATTTTGTATTAAATACATTTTGTATTAAAATGTAGGAAGCTGAAGGGAAGAGGACACTTGTGTCCTCAGATACCATTTCTGTCATAATTATTGGTGGCTCAATAGACATGTCATTGATCCTTCCAATACAATGGCCTCTCACCCGATCGACTTTTATCTTGACATCAACCCACCTCTATTCCCACGGTCATATCCTTGACCTTATCATTACTATTATGGATTGAATTATATCGCGCCAAAGTTCAGGCACTGAAGTCCTAACCTCCAGCACCTTAGAATGTGACTTTATTTGGAGACAGGATTGTTGTAGATGTAATTAGTTGACATGAAGTTATAGTGGACCCTAATCCAATATGACTGAGGTTTTTGTGAAAAGGGGAAACTTGGGCACAGAGGCTTGCTTACACACCGGGAGAACAGTATGTGAAGACGAAGGCAGAGGTTAGTGTGATGTTTCTACAAGCCAAGAATCACCAAAGATTGCCAGCATGCTACTGTGAGAGGCATGGAAGAAATTCTCCCTTGCAGCCCTCAGAAGGAACCCTCCCTGCCAATAGCTTGATCTTGGACTTCTAGTTGCAAGGGTTCTGAGATAATACATTTCTGTTGTTGAAGTGACTCTGTGCTACTTTGTTATGGCAGCTCTAGCCAATAAATACGGTTACTGAGAACTACAAGCCCTCCGTCCTCTCTGTTTCAAACACTTCCCTGTCCCCACCATCTCCTGCCCCTCAGACCCACTGCCTTTAGTGCTCAAACACTAGTAAGTATTTCTTTACCACCAACACCTTTGATCTATTGATTCTACTACTGTCTCACTTTTCCTCACTCCATTCATGTTTCACTTTTCCTCTTTTACTGACTTAATATTTCTTTGATTATTCATTATCATGACTTATTTTTCTCCTCTCTGGTACACTCTTATAGTTAAACTACAATGCTAGTTACATCCACCACTCAGTCCCCACTCAGTCCCCACTCAGTCCCCAACAGCTTGTCAGAGCATGGCTGGAGAATGGCCCTCCATACCCTGACTGGAACATGGCTGGACAATGGCCCTCTGCACCCTGACTGGAGCATGCTGGACAATGGCCCTCCATACCCTGACTGGAACATGGTTGGACAATGGGCCTCCACACTGACTGGAGCATGCTGAACAATGGCCCTTCATACTCTGACTGGAGCATGCTGGACAATGGCCCTCCACACCCTGACTGGAACATGGCTGGACAATGACCCTCCACACCCTAACTGGAGCATGCTGGACAGTGGCCCTCCATACCCTGACTGGAGAATTGCTGGACAATGGCCCTCCACACCCTGACTGGAACATGGCTGGACAATGGCCCTCCATACCATGACTGGTCTCACCTTAATGCTGTCAGCTACCATGCTTTATTTCTCTGCGTTAGTCAACCTCTTCACTTGCAGTAGTCACTCTCTTATTCTCCTAAACAATCATTTCACTGTCTCTCCTCTCTCATCAAACTTACAACACCTCCTCACCACGGTCACCTTGTTTCCCATTTAAACCGGCAGAATTGAAGGAATCCAAAGAGAGCTTCTCCAAACTCCTGAAACCACATCTACCCATCAACCTGCGTCTTCACTTTTCTTCTGTTACTACATCATATGTTAGTTTCTGTTCTCTGCATGTTCTGCCCACATGCCTAGTGAGGTCAACCTCTCCACTTGCAGTAGCCCTTGCATCCCTCTCACCTATTCAGGAAGTTGCTCCAGAAAGTGTCCCCACTCTATTTGGCTTCTTCAGTCTTTCCTCATCTACTAGATCTCCTTCAGCAATCAAGCATGTTTATTTTTTTCATGTTAAGCAAGACTCTTTGGAAACAACTCTTCCCCACATTTGTGCTTTTCTTCACAGTAGATCTGTCTACACTTTCTGTTTCCTGTTTCTCTTCTTCCACTCACTTTAGAAGGCACTCCAATCAGGCTTTGGCCTCACTCCTCCACTAAAATTGCACTTGGTATTGCTACAGACAGTTCTTGACAGAACAGCAGCACTTGAAACAAGTGATTGCTCTCTTTTCCTTGGATCACTCTCCTTGCAGGCTTTTGGGACACTACCTTTCCTGATTTTTCCTCCTCCTTTTCTGGCTAGTCCTTCTCAGTTTCCTCTGCTGGTTCTTCCTTAACTCTCCACCTCTAAATGTTGACGTGCCTCTCAGACCTAGCCTCTTTTCTATCTAGAGTTTTATCTAGAGTTTCTCCCTATGAATCTCATCTATCTTGCATTTAAACGCAATCTGTATGCCTGTGACTTCCAAATTAACATGATCGGCCCTGGCTTCTGCCATGATGTCCATATATCTGCCTTCTCTATGTTCACCTAGGTATATGACAGTCCTAAAACGAACATGGCCAAAATTGATCTCCTGATATATGCCCCTCCCACTCCAAACTTGCTCCTCCTACAGTCTTATCAGTTAATGGAACTTGTCAATTGTTCAAGGCAAAAACCTTGGCAGCATTTTTTACTGCTTTTTTTTTCACTCATTGTATTAGCAAATACTTTCAATCACACCTTCACAGTATATCCATAATTCCACCCTTTCCCACTATCCCTACTGCTACCACCCTGTTCTAGGCCATCATCTCTTTCCTGGATTATTTTTGTTACCTGGTCTCTTTGACTCTGGCTTTGCCCCACCACCATGCCATTCACTCTATTTTCAACACAACAGCCAACCTGGTCCTGTTCAAAAGTGTAAGTGTGATCATGTCACTGACTCTTAGTCAGTGTCCTCTGCTCAAAACTTTTATCTGACTTCTCATCTCGCATGGAGTAAAAGCCAAAGTCCTTAAATAAGGTCTGACATGATATGTCCACCCCACTGTCTTTTTGACCTCATTACTTCTGCTCACTTCCCTCCAGCTGCCCAGTTGTCTTACTGTTCCTCAAACATGGCAGCCATGCAGCTACACGAGGCCTTTGCACTACCTGTTCCCTCTGCTTGGAATGCTCTTCCTCCAGATGCCAACACAGCTCACACCCTCACCTTTTTAGCTCTTTACTCAAATTCAATAAGGCCTTTCTTGCTCATCTTTCTTAAAATTTCAGTCCTTCCTCCAGCACTTTCCATTGCTCTTCCCTGCTTCAAGTTTTCACTTTAGATTTATGTACTATACATTTCACTTAATTATATTTCTCATTCTGTGTCAGCAACTGGAATATAACCTCCATGAGAACAGACATTTTTGCCTGTCATTCATGCATGAATCACCAGGGCCTGACATAAAATAAGCACTCAATAAATATTTGTTGAATGAGGAAATTAACATTTTTAGATTAGTGAAACAATTGAATTGTATTTGGGAAATATCTTCATGTTGTCATCGATGAGACCAAAACCAACTCCAGCATCTGGATTAGCCAGTCATAATTAGTAAGAAAAGAGTTTACTTTTCAGAAAGAAAAGTCAGTAAACATTTTATTCTTCATCTAACAGGCAAATTACAGAGACTTGATGTCCTATTGTAAGCTCCAGTTTTCTAACACTTCTCCTCAGGTTTTGGTGTCTCACAGTCCCTGAGTGAGCATTTTTCTCAGATAGGGTTTTCCCTGGAGGAGATCTCTTTCTACCCTAGGTCCTCAGTAAGCCAGAACCCCAGGGCTTCAGGGTCACCTTCCACTGTTTTAACTGCTGTTGCTGCTTTAGGCAACAAACCCTCCTCTGGAGATGCTCTTACTGTCACCATAGAGTGGCTCTGTTTAGGTGTGAGGCAGTATCTTCTCCTAGCCAGTGTCCTCTCTCAGTAATTCAAGCTACCCATCCTTTCTTTGGGTCACCCCAAATACTATAAGGAAGAACTCTAGATTTTTCCCTTCTGTGGCTACAGCAATTCTTATAGACACCAGCGCTCTACAAGAAGCAGCGTTTTAGGAATTTCCTGCTTAGCAACCATTACATGCCCAGAGACACTGTGTTTGCCGGGTGGTTGCGTGGGGGATAGCAGAGGGATTGTCTTTGTGTCTTTGTGTTACCTGACAGCATGACAGCTTTCCCTCACTTTCTTCTTTATTGATTGACTTCTGTCAGGAACTACCATGGAGATAGAAACACCCTTCTCAAATAGGGTGACTGGCATCTGTGCTCCTCAAGCCTCGAGTCTTTTTATCTTTACCTTGTCTTAGAGGTTTCCCAATGGTTCAAAGATAAAGACTCCACACCCTGACTGGAACATGGCTGGACAATGGCCCTCCACACCCTGACTGGAGTATACTGGACAATGGCCCTTCACACCCTGACTGGAACATGGCTGGACAGTGGCCCTCCATACCATAACTGGTCCCACCTTAATGCTCTCAGCTACCATGCTCTATTTCTCTGCTTTAATCACTCTTTTATTCTCCTAAATGATCATTTCATTGTTTCTCCTCTCTCATCAAACCTACAACACCTCCTCACCACGGTCACCTTGCTTCCTGTTTAAACCAGCAGAATTGAAGGAATCCAAAGAGAGCTTCTCCAAACTCCTGAAACCACATCTACCTACCGACCTGCTTCTTCACTTTTCTTCTGTTACTACATCATGTGTTAGTATGATAACATATAACATAAAAATATTTCTCAGCCAGAATTCCACCATTTCCCATTGGTAGCTGAGAATATATTTAACAACTTGAAGCTATTATGTATTCAATATTACTTTCATGTGAATTTTGCCCTCTGTCAATTATAAGCATCTTATATGATCTATAATCCATAGGTAGTTGGAACTGTTATTTAATTCAGGTGACAGTGATTTGGGCAAAAGTCTTTAATAATGCTTTGACATAACCCTTTGGCTCTTTCTGTGACTTAAACCTTACACCCTAGACTGCAGGCATAGTTTTAAACATGAGGGCTTTCATGTTTAGCAAGAAGCTACACAGTGTGTATAAAGGTGGAGGAGTTGTGATCAGAAAAATGATGTCACGATTAAATTATGTCTCCTCTCAGTGAGCCTGTTTTCCCACTTATAATATAGGAAAATTGGACCAGAACTAGTGTTGTCTTAGCTATTGCTTGTTTTTGTTCTGCTTCTTCAAATAAATGCACCTGAAACCACTGTATCTAACATGGATAAAGGTGTAGCTGCTCTGGTTGGAGCTGGGCAGAAGACCTTCACCTTAACTCTATTCTGTTCTGGGATAATTTTGAAACACAGAGTTCTCTTTATTTGTACACTGGGCCCTCCCTATCAGTGGGTACCACATCTGTGGGTTCAATCAACCACAGATTGAAAATATTTGAAAAAAAAATTGCATCTGTACTGAAAATGTAAAGACTTGTTTTTATTGTCACTATTCCCTAAACAATAAATACGGTATAACAACTATATAATATTACATTGTATTAGGCATTATAACTAATCTAGAGATGACTCAAAGTACACGGGAGGATGTGTATAGGTTATATGCAAATACCTTGCCATTTCACATTAGGGATTTGAGCATGTACAGGTTTTGGTATCTGCGCAGGTCCTGGAATGGATCCCCTACAGATAATAAATTTTAGGATCTACTGCCTAAGGACTATTATTTTTCTCTCTTTAGGGACTAAGCAGGAAGGATCAAACTGGCCTGCCCTTGGCAAGCTCTGGTGCTCACCATCATGTCTAGGAGGCTGGGCCTCACTGGGCTCACTCACCTCACTGGGCTCACTCACTCACTTTCCGTGCCTCCGGGAAAGGATGCTCAGAATCCCAGCTGCAGCCCAGCAGGCCCACCCCTGCTCTGATCCTCTGTGTAGCTGAAATCGCAAAGCAAAAGTTAGTTTTATTTTCTTGAAGTGCAAGTTCAAATTATGTATTTCCTCCCATAGTCTCTATACAAGCTAGATGTGCATAAAAGTCTTACATAAAATGATGGCTAAACCTTGGAGGATTTTATTCTTTAATTAAATGTAACTTATAGGACAGAGTATGGCATAGCTGCACATGGCTACAATTTTCTACATGGTTTTGTATGCTTGGATTCCTGATCTCCTGGTCTATGTTTTACCCAGGTTTTTTAGCCTCACCCCAGAGCTTTCCACCTCTAGAAATATGCTGCACCGTCACCATGCTTGCTGGAAAGTTTCTTGTTTAAAAATTCTGCAATCAGCACAAGTTACATCTATTGATTCTCATATAAAAATAGTGATATTTCTCATTCCTTTTAAAATGGTTTCATAAGAAATAGCTTATGCACACTTGCAAGTATGTTCATTTTCAAAGTTCTGTTTTACTTTTTATAATTAGTTTTTAAAGATAGCTTTTAAAGAGAGTTGATTAAACAAGACTTTAATGATTAGAAACTTACCAGGGCTTTTCTGAAAACTTCTATCTTTATATTAGAAACATAAAATAAGTCTTCATGAGGCTGTTTGATCTGGATCCCTTAGATTAGTTCCCCTTTCTTGATAATTTGCAAGAGTCACGTTCTGGAAAGCAGCTATGAGGAAGCAGAGCTGTAGGCAGAACAGACTTGGTCCTTGTTCAGTTTGCCGGAGGATATACTTGTTGAGAACGTATTGCATAAAACAATGATATCACAACCAATTAAAATGCAATAGACTGGACTGCTGCTGAGGAAATGTTTATGAAACAGATTTTCCCCCCAACTTTCTACTATGAAAATGTTTGAACATACAGAAAATTTGAAAGAATAGTGAAAAGAATACCCTTCTCCTAGGTAGCATCTCTTTGTGTACTTACTTCTAAGAAAATAAATAAAACTCAAAAAGTATGTGACAGGTACACTTTATCTCTCTTCCAGCATTCCACATTCAATGTGGAGCAAATCCTATGGGGTGTATCTTCAAAATATACCCAGCATTTGACTACCTGACACCACTACCACCTGGTCCAAGCCTTCCTCATCTCTTTCCTGGATTATAGGAATAGCTTCCTTGCCAGGTTCCCTCTTGCTGTTATTGATCTCTTCAGGGACTTCTCAAAAAAGCAGCCGGAATGACCCTGTTAAAATGTAAACATCATATCAATGTTGTGTCCAACCCTGTCTGTGGCTTTCCATCTGACAAGGCCTCACACAATCTGGTACCCTGCTAATCCTCTGATATTAGGTCTTTTATTTTTCCCTCTAAATCTGGCCCAGTCCCCTGACCTCCTCGTTGCTTCCTGAAGGAAGCACCTGCCCCTGTTTCCAGCCACTACACTTGTTTTCCCTTCCTGGAATGTCCCTGGATACCAGCAGGGCTCACTCTTTCACTTTGTTGAGATCTTTTGTCAAATGTCACCTTCTCAGCAAGGCACTGTTTGGCCAGCCTACTGAAAACTTTATCCCACCTCCCAACATTTCCTATCCCTCTTCTGGCTTCATTTTTTATCTACTTAGGACTTACAAGCAGCAAATATTTTATATATTTTAACCTATTTATTTTCTGTCCAACCCATTATTCTATGCACTCCATAAGGACAAATTTCTTTACATTTTGTTCATTATCTGGCATTGCCTAGCACATAATAGCTTCTTAACAAAAATCTGTTAAATGAGTAACACATTTTCTTAGAGTAGTTAAAAGTAATGAATATTTGAAAGGCCTTGAGCTACCAGTGTCTGTGGGTCAAAGGACTTCCTCATTTTCCTAGGGAAATTATTTCGCTTGGCTGGAACTCCAGGTAGAAATCTGGGGAAATCTCTTTACTGTGCTACCCGTTAGGCCAGAATGAACTCCAGCTTCTATCATCTGGTCACAAATAATGAAAAGGAAGTTTTTTTTTCAAAAGGAAAGCAAAACAAATGAATATATTTTCTCCTGCAGTTTTTGTAGATACCCTAGTTACAGACTACACCTTACCAACTTTCTGCTGTGTCACTCACAGTCACCGAATGAGGCCATTTCTCACACAGCGTTTTCCCTGGAGGAGGTCCCTTTTGACTCTAGGTCCCCAGTGTCTTAAGACCTTTGCTGTTTTCACCCTCTGCCTTTGCTGGGAAGCTGCTCTTCTGGCAAGGGGCTTACACTTTCCACAGACACAGTCTGCTCGGGTGAGATGCAATACCTTCTTTTAGCTGGTGTCCTCTTTCAGAAATTTAACCAGCCAGTCTCTCTCTGGAAATGCTAAAGATGGAAAAAACAGACTCCAGATTTTTTCTTTCGTTTTAGCCAGTACAATTTTAAGAGCATCTGGATGTATGCTGTTGGAACTAAGTAACAATCAAAATGACCATGATTAGTGTGGACAAATTTTGTGATTGCCTTGACTTAAGTCTTGGCTTTCTAGGGGCCCTCAGTGTCCTGTTTTGAAACAATTGTGAAGACAAATATTATCTTTAGCAACGTTGGTTATTGACAAAGGAGTTGCAGGTTGGCATCCTCAACACTTCAGTTTTCTCTCTTTGATGCTCAGCAAGAATTTCCAAGTCAGCAAACTCTCAGGGACAAGCCCACCCCATCTTTGAGAGACCCTCAGCAACACCGCTGATATCCATGCCCTAGGGAGGTGTTCTGCTCTGCAGGATTCTTAGAACTGATGTAGGGGAAACACACTTCAGAATCTGGCTGTAGCCCAGGAGAGCTACCCACACCCTCCTTGCATAGTCTGGCAGACAGAAGCCACACAAGCAAGTTAGTTTCGTTTTCCTGAAGAACACTTTGCATTTTTTTTCTTAGTTTTCAACCAGATTGCTGGATAAGATGTATGTGAATGAAATACTTTAATAGAATAATATTTAGCCTCTGCAGAGTATTAACTTTGATAAAATGTAAAAGTTTTAATAACATCTTACGTTATGAAGACAGAATTTTGTGTAATTACACAAGATCACACGTTCCTTTAGAATCTTCAGTGCTTAAATTCCTGACCCTGTTTGCATCGTTTCTCTATCCTCTTTTCCAAAGCCTGCCTGCCACAATCAGAAACCCTCCCACTATCCTAATTACACTTAATGGTATGTTTCTTTTTAGAAGAGCACTTACAAAGTTATTATCAGTTAAATATACTGACATGTATTTAATCCATTGATTTTTCTAATTACTCTAGTATTTTTATAAGTAATCGTTTATGTACAAACATATATTTATATAAAAAGTACAGCTGAAGTTTTAAAAAATAGCTGTCGCCTCAAAAGCATAACAAATAAAGGTTTAATGATTCAGTTTACTTACCAGGATTTTCCTGAAAATGTCATCGTTTTATATCAGAAACTTGAAACAGGCCATTTGAACTTTTGCTGTCTCATTCCTCTTCTGATGGCTAGGAGACATGAAGTGTAAGGATCCTTTTTTAAAAACTGAGGCATTAAATTGTGAAGTCTTCTGTTCTCCCAGTACTCTGACTTTCTGAGGGTGTGTCAGAGTGCCAGTTGAGAAGCAGGAGGAAGTTGAAGTATAGACAGTTTCAGTTTTGCTTTAGAACATTCTTTTTTCTTGAGTTTAGAAGGATCTGAAATGTTTTTTAATCAATAACATTACCAAAAATATCAATAAATTTGAATCACTGCTTAGAAACTGTTTACCAGGCAGATTTTTAAGTTATAAGAGTTAAGGAATAAGGAAACAACAAACAAACAAACAAAAAAACCCAGTGACCCAAAAAACTACCTACAGGACAAAGAGAATGGAAATACCAGGGAGAAAATTAATATGTCAGTGCAATCTAAGTTCCTGTTACTGGTTGAATTGTGTCCCCCAAACATTCATATGTTAAAGTCCTAATCCTCACTCCCTCCAAATGTAACTGTATTTGGAGATAAGGTCTTTCAGGAGATAATTAAGTTAAAATGAGGTCATTAGAGTGTCTGTAATTGAATCTGACTGTGTCCTTGTAAGAAGACGAGATTGGGACACAGACACATACAGAGGGAAGACCATGTGAAGACACAAAGAAAAGATGGCCATCTACAAGCCAAGGAGAGAGACATCAGAAGAAACCAACCCTGATAATGTCAGAGACATTCGAACCAGAGTGACTCCATTTTGAATGAGGGCTACGAAAATGAGGCTGAGACTTGCTGGGCTGCCTTCTCAGAAAGGTAGGCATTCCTAGCCTCTAGATGTTTATGATTAAGGGAGCAAATTAATAATATTTACTAAGCAGACCGTGACTTGGGAGTGTCCAGATATCCCAATATCTGGAGAACAGAGGCATTCTTAATTTTGCTTTAAAGAAAATAATATTGATTCTTGCAAAATACACTAATTAAGAAAATTAATTCTTTATCAGAAACCCTTGTAGCAAAACACATCTCTCCATATATACAAGCATTGTACCTAGGGTGGATGTGTTCCTCCTCTTACTTTCGGGAACGTCCTACTCTGTCTGTGGAGTAGCTGTCCTTTTACCACTGTACTTTCTTAATAAACTTGCTTTTACTTTGCACTGTGGACTCGCCCTGAATTCTTTCTTGCATGAGCTCCAAGAACCCTCTCTAGGGGTCTGGATTGGAACCCTGGTCCTGTAACATTTCTGGCAACCATGAGGGACCGATACTGAAGAACCTCCCCACCAACCCAAAGGAAATGGACTATAGCACTGATTGGATGACTTTGGGTAAGTGGTGGGGTACCCGGGTAAAGAATGGGATTGGGTTAGAGGCCCAACTTAGGGGAATTAGAGTCTCTCCGAAGACAGGGTGAATTAGAGACCCCTGTTAATAAAAGGCAAAGATGCTTGACTGACCTCGGATTAGAGGACCAACTTAAAAGGTTTAGAGTTCCTTCTAAGATTTAGGGGGTTAGAGGGCCCTCTCAGTAAAGTCCCTCTCTGCTAAAAAAGGGTTTGGCACTGCAGGCTATGCACTTTGTATTAATCTGCCTTGTCCTCCTTGCTGCATAAATCAATTTCTTGGTTGCTGTCTGTGTTTCACTGTCATTTTCGGGAGACTTTATCTAAATGGTCTTAGGGATTTTAACTTACTCTTTTCCTATGTGCCTCCTGATTTCCATGTGTCTGCTCTTGAAACATTGGGAACAAAAAGCATTGACGGCTCCGTCTTTAAAATTGCTGATTGAGATTTGGTATTCAACAGCTATGAGCAATAAAATTAGATTATGTTTTGTTGCTGCTATGCCGACTAGGTGTGATCGAGAAGCACTAGGATGGAAATCAGGGGACTCTGATGTTTTGTTTCACTTTGCACACTAAAAACACTTCTTTCCTTTCTTGCATTCAGGCAAACCGGCTTTGCTTGTTCAATCCACACTGTCTCTATTGCCCAGAACCTGCTTGCTCTGGTCATTCCCATCTAAATCCTCTTCATTTCCCTTGCCTTATTCAACATTTTTGTCAAAGTCCATGTTGTGGTTTATCTAAGATTCATGACTCAGCTCACTTATGTTATTTGGATAATGTGAATCATGTTTGATGAGAGGAAAAGAGGAAAAAAAGCTAGACATACTAGATGATCCTTTAATGCAAGCAACCTTGGTTCAGCAGGCAGTTTTGGGTGGAGCAGAACCTCCTTCTGTCAGCTCTGAAGGTTCAGATGTGTCTGTCCTTTCTCCCTCTATCCCCTTGGAGAACCCTTTGTCCCATCCTCCTTACCCATCTAGCCCCACTCTATACCCACCACTCCCTGAGGAACTTAGCCTGGTGAGTACTACCCCTAGTGGAGCCTCCTATCAACCTCCAAAGGGAAACCTTTGTCCACTTAGAGAGGTGGCAAATGGGGAAGAAGGCACTGTGAGAGTACATGTTCCCTTTTTTTTTTTTTGTCTGATTTGACTCTATGTAAAGAGAAGTTTGGTGATTTCTCTGAAGACCCAGGAAGATTCATAGATTAATTTGAGAAATTAATTCTGACCTATAGTTAACTTGGCAGGATCTCCATGTTTTGTTGTCTCTGTGTTGTACAGTGGAAGAGAAACAATGCATTTTGGGGACAGCTAGGGCTCATGCAGATGAGGCATTGGCTAACAACCCAAACCATAATACATATCAGGCAGGAGGTAGAGCAGTTCCAGATCAAGATCCAGAGTGGAACTATCAAAGGGGCAGTGACAACTTGGGGAGGAGCGATCATATGGTCACTTGTTTGTTGGAAGGGATGAAGAAATGTATGAAAAAGCCTGTTAACTATGAAAAATTAAGGAAGTTTCTCAGGACAAAGATGAGAATCCAGCTTTGTTTCAAGGGCATTTAGTTGAGGCAATTAGGAAATATACTAACACTGATCCTGCTTCAAGGGAAGGACAAACCCTTTTGAGAGTACATTTTATAACCCAGTCTGCCCTTGATATCCATAGGAAACTAGAAAAAGCAGCTATGGGTCCCCAAACTCCCATATGGAACAGCTTTTGGATATGGTATTTTTAGTTTTCAATAACAGGGACAAAGCAGAGGAAGCAGAAGGAGTAAGAAGGACCTCCCACAAGGTGCAGCTCTTGGCTGCAGACTTAAGCTTACCTCCCACATGGGGTTGCCCTCCTGGTTCTTGGCCTGAACAAGGGAAGCTGAAAGGTGGGAAGTCAGAGTCACCTTGCCTTGGGCATTAATCAGTGTGCACACTGTAAGAAAACTGGCCTTTGGAAGAGGGATTGCCCAGTGCTCTGAAGGGAGCCATTGGCACCTGAAGCAATGATGGCTGAAATAGCCAGGCAAACCCAAGAGTGACGGGGTCTGAGACTTTCCAGCACAGCTCCCATCAGACAACTAGTTATTATCTCTGGAGAAGCCTTGGGTAACCCTTGACGTGGCAGGTAAGAACATTAACTTCCTTCTGGGTTGCTTATTCTGTTTTGACCCATTATAATGGGTCTCTGTCACCCCAGAACTGTATGGCCATGGGGATAGATGACAAGCCCATAGATGCCATTTTACCTATCCTTTAAGCTGCTCTTCAGGGACCTTGCTTTTCTCCTGAATGCCCCACCCCTTGTTGGGAAGGGATTTGTTAACTCAGCTGCGAAGAGTACTATCTTTTGGAAATCATAAGGCAGACTGAAATTGCTCCTTCTTCTTTCCTGTGAGTAAATATCAGCCTTTGTTGCTAAACATCCTGATATAACACTTAAAGTATGCCATATGTTGAATCCAGCTACCTATTTGCCTGAACCCACAAGTATCGTACATTATTCTTGTATATAAGTTATGCTGCAAGTTTACTCCAGCTGTCCAGATTTAAAGGATAAGCCTCTAGATAATCTTGAGGCAGTATGGTTTACAGATGGAAGTAGCTTTGTGCACCAGGGAGATGGGAAAGCTGGGTATGCCGTTGACAGTCAACACGAGGTAATCGAATCTCAGGCCTTACCAGCTTCTACCTCAGCTCAAAAGGCGGAATTAATAGCTCTTATTAGAGCCCTGCAATTGGGAAAGGACTTAAGAATTAACATTTCACTGATTCTAAGTATGCCTTCCTGATACTTCATGCTCATGCTGCTATCTGGAAGGAATAGGGACTCCTAACTGCTAAGGGTTCCCCTATAAAACATCACTTAGAAATTCTGGGCCAGGCACGGTGGCTCATGCCTGTAATCCCAGCACTTTGGGAGGCTTAGGAGTGGGGATTGGGAAGGGGGGGGGGTGGATCACTTGAGGTCAGGAGTTCGAGACCAGCCTGGCCAACATGGTGAAACCCCGTCTCTACTAAAAATACAAAAAAAATTAGCCGGGCATTGTGGCAGGTGCCTGTAATCCCAGCTCCTCAGGGGGCTGAGGCAGAAGAATTGCTTAAGCTTGGCAGGTGGAGGTTGCAGTGAGCTGAGAAAAGAGGCTCTTCCCTTAGTGTGACTAAGGGAAACTCCTTTGCAGATGCAGCTGCTAAGGCCACAGTGTTAAAGGAGCCCCCAGCCATGATAATAACAGAACCAAGATATATTAAAGAGGAAGAGGAATGGACTGAAGGTCCATTGAAGGTCAGGGTTTAATTGAAGATCATTCTGGCTGGCTTATCAATGATAACAAACTGTTGACACCAGGTGCTAATCACTGGAAAATAGTTAAGCATTTGCATGACTCTACTCATTTGGGAAGCGATTCCCTGTATCAATCAATGTCACAGCTTTTTGTAGGAAAAGACTTACTTAAAACAGCAAAGCAGGTGACTCAGGCCTGTGAACTATGTGCCCAGAATAACCCAAATAACCGATCTTTACCTCCTCCTCTAGTAAGGCCTGTTCGGCACAGAGAAATGTACCTTGGTGAAGATTGGCAAATAGACTGTACTCAGATAGTCCAATGTAAAGGGTTTAACTATTTATTAGTATTCGTTGACACCTTTACTGGTTGAATTGAGGCTTTTTCTATCTGGTCTGAAAAGGCAATTGAAGTTTCTAAGCTCCTACTAAAGGAAATAATTCCCAGATTTGTGCTGCCTAAGAGCTTACAGAATGATAATGGCCCATCTTTCACAGCAACAATTACCCAAAACACATCTTCAGCCCTATGAATTCCTTAGTAGCCCAACTGCAGCTAAACTCCTGGGAATAAACAGCTGGGTCCACTTACCTCAAATTAAACCTGACTCTTACGAAGTCCCACAGACCTGTGGAACACAAGAGACTGATCCTGTTTATTCCTGTGAGTGAATCAGTGACCTCTGACTCCTGTTTGGAAGAAATGAAAGGGAAGGGTTACAGAAAAATATAGATTGACAATCTACTTTTGGGTATAAGTTGGAATCATGCAGAGAGTAACTTATTTACTGAGTGGGCACAGACTTTAGCCTCTACATAATCAGTCAAACTGTTGGGTAGGTGGAGAATTGCCACTTTCCTCCACTTCTGGGTTGCTCTGACATATTCAATCGGCCAGCTTAAGTTTGTGGGGGACTTTATTATGTTCCAGACTATTACCTAGCCTGTGAAAGCTTTAGACACTCATCTCTCTGACATCGATGTACCATCAGTTGACCCTTTATCGACTTGGTTCCAACAACTTCCCAGTTTTTGGAAAGCTTCCCTGTTTAGTTTACTTGGAATGATTTTACTTATTTTGCTTTGCTGTTGTGGAATATATTGCAGTTGTACTTTTTGTGTAGGAATGCAAGACAAGCTCACTCAATGCTTTCTTAAATTGAACACTTACTAATCTTCACTTAATCTTCTGTGGCTTAAGCTACTCAGTCTGTGGTACTTTGTTATGGCAGCCTTGGCAAATTAATACAGTGCCATTAAATTTCTGCTTGCTGATTCACCATTGATTTCATTTTCTTTGAAAACTAAAACTTTTTTTTGGAGGTTATAGATATCAGGATGTATATATTAAATGTGTACAATGTTTTTCTGAATCAATTATACCTCAGTAAAGCTAAATATCATTATTTCTTCAACTGTGACTATAATAAAAGTTTATTTTCAAACTTAAAAAATACAGAATATACAAAGAAGGGAGAAAACCTATGTTATCCAAATACAATATCTATTTCCTGTTGTTTACTGCCTTTCTTTTTTTTCTATATGTATTTAAAAATATATAAATTTAATATTTGAGAAATTTCCCAGGCCGGAAAGCATGTAACTTCAAATAGGCAATGTACAATGCCCAGTAATCTAGGTTTTATTTAGCTTTGTCTTTCTCTCTCAAAAAGCATATTTCGGAGATTCTCAACTGCGCATCCCCTGTCAATTTTGACCTCCATCACTCTCATGTGATGAAATGTCTTCCTATATAATGGACAAAAGGGAAGCCATCAGGTGGGTTTTCTCACATGCTCCATTCTCAAGATCCTCAAACTCATTTTTTCCCACAATAGAGCAGTGATTCTTAATCTTTACCTCTATAATCTCATTTTTTCCCCCACAATAGAGCAGGGATTCTTAAACCACAGTGTGCATTGACCTCTGGGGAGCTCTCAAAAAAGCAGATGCTCAGGAACTCTATTGGACAATCAATTATCTCTAGGGATAGGGCCAAGCATCAATAATCTTTAAAAGCTCCTTGAGTAGTTCTAGTGTACAACCAGGGCAAGAATGTCTAGAATAAAATGAATGACTTTTCCTCTTTCTTTTCCAAACTTCCCTTCCATTTTCACACAATTCAGTCCTAAAACCCAAGAACCAATTCAGAAAACTTATCCTTAAAATTCTACTCCTCTAGAACCACTCTCAGTACCAAAATCTATATTACTTCAGGTTCTCCAGAGAAACAGAACCAATAGGATGTATCTATATCTGTATCTATAGCTACATTGTATATATCTATATATGAAATCTTAGATATATATTTTTTCTATCTATTATCTATCTATAAGGAGATTTATTATATTGGCTCATGTGATTATGAAGGCCGAGAATTCCCACAGTCTGCTGTCTGTAAGCTGGAGACCCAGGAAAGCTAGTGGTGTAATTCAGTGCAAGTCTGAAGGCCTGAGAACCAGAGACCCACAGTGAGGAAGGAAAAAAGGTGTGAATTCCTCTTTCTGCTCCTTTTAGTTCTATTCATTATCTCAACAGGCTGGATGATATCCAACCCTTTTGGGGAGGGCAATCAACTTTATTTAGTCCACCAGTTCTGGATGCTAAAATACCATCACAGACACACCTAGAGACAATGTTTAATGTGGACACTGTATGGCCCACTCAAATTGACACAAAAAATTTGGGAGTCACACAGTTACATATAGCAGTGCAGCTAAATATTTTATGGCTGTATATCACAGGAGAACAGAAACTGGGAGACAATTAGCCATTTCTTCTACAGATGTCTATTTGCAATTCAAAGACTCCTAAAAAGCATAGATTCTCTTAAGTGAAATTGGAATCTGTGAAAATTAACTTCTTAATGTCTTAAAGTTTTCTGGCTCAATATACTTACTTTTCTGGCATAGTAAAAGCAAGAAGAGAAAGGAGGAAAAAGTGACGCCGAAGAAATTGAGGCTTATACAATGAAACTTCTTAAAATATGGGAAAATATAGGAAAGTAAATATGCTGATGACTTCTGGGAAGAGGGAAGTTTAGACAGAATATCTTTAAGTTTGATATTATCATGGACCAAACTCACACCAAATAATACAGTAACACTAGGAAATTGTATTATTTTATTTTACTTTTTGAGACAGAGTCTCACTCTCTTGCCCAGGCTGGAGTGCAATGGTATGATCTGGACTCACAGCAACCTCTGCTTCCCAGGTTCAAGAGATTCTCTTGCCTCAGCCTCCTGAGTAGCTGGGATTACAGGTGTGTGCCACCAGGCCTGGCTAATTTTTGTATTTTTAGTAAAGACGGGGTTTTACCATGTTGGCCAGGCTGGTGTGGTGCTGACCTCAGGTGATCTGCCCACCTCAGCCTCCCAAAGTGCTGGGATTACAGGTGTGAGCCACCGTAATATTTTAAAAATATGTCATTAGCTAGCTGAGTAAACAAAAGTATAGATTACCTAGAGCTTCCAGTAAAATTTGTTGTCTTGGGACCATGTTGGAAATACGGGTTGTGTGTGGCAGAAATCAGCAACTAATATAAACCACAGTCAGAAAGACATTGAATATTCAGATGAAGGACCAGGTATGAAAAAACATTTCTCAGTATGCACATTATATGTATCAAAGACATTTTATGCCCCACTTTACCTTCTTTTTGTCTATCTTTTATCATAAACATTGCTGTGACAACAAGTTTTGTGCAAATATGACCTGACAGTACCTTACTTCAGTGACTGCGTACATCTCACTTTATGTTCCAGGCTTCTTGGGCACCAGGAACGATAGGTGACAACTGCTGGAACCCTGTGGTATTCATGTATGAGCATCTGGGAAATGTGAGGAGCATAAAAAGTCACAGGGGTAACCAACAGTTGACTAATAGAGGACAGAAGCTGGTGGAAAATTTTTCTCCTTTTCACAGCTCAGAAAAATTCTTAGTTGCATTCTGTCCACCTCCTCAGTAGGTCCTGGCAAGATTGAGCCCAGAGCAATAACACATTTCTTGTATTGGTTTTCCACCCCTCCCTGTTTCACTTTCCCCAGGGCCCCACTACTTTTCCTTGGGCTCAAATCCAAAATAAACTATCGGCATACAAGCTCTGTTTCCTGGAGTGTAGGGATGGGGTGGGGAGGAAACTGAGGCTAATACAGTTGGCACCAAAATGGGCCCAGAAAGCAAATTCACAGCATGGGATTCTGGAACTGGTCAGGAAGTGGTAAGGACTATAGTAGTGATGGTAAATTTGGTGGTGAAAATTCCTGACATGCAATCAGCATGAGGCACAGAAGGAAAGTGAAACATTGGCTTATGCTGTAGTTTCAGCACTTAGATGGTGTTAAAAAAGCAGTGTAAGAATTCTAAATTGGACTGGATTATAGCAGCCTTGAAAAATCAAATGACAGGTTTATATTAGCTAACTATAAACTCAAGACTGTCTCCGAAATCAGAAGTCCTACATGGTAGTATTTTAAAATTAAAAAAAAAAAAATTCTGAAGCTCCTGGACAAGACTGTACTGAAAATCAGGCACAGAATCTAATTTTAATGGTAGAAGAGCTACATAGTCAACTTTATATGAGTGTAACACCTCTGTAAGTATTTGATGTCATTCAGGGCTGTGATAGGAAAACAGTGGAGCCCTAGAACCTGGGATGGAGATATATGAGTAGGAAGGTCTGAATCTGGAATACCTGTACTGCCTTGAATCCTATGGGCTGGTAGAATAAGCTTCTTCCCATATCAGAGGATAGTGGCCTCTCCTTGCAAAGAGAACTGGTAGAGATTTCACTTGGAACAAGACAATACTTATTTTTTTTGTGAGATTTGCCTCAATCTTCTCTCGTTGCCTGCAGACCAATAACTGGGGCCAGCTTTCAGGATAGATTCAGCAGGAAAATAGAGCTTGAGAAAACATACCCCACAAAGTGCAAGACTTGTCTTATATTTACCATCAGAAACCAGGGTAACATATGTAATAGTGGATAGTGATGTGAAAATGGGCAGAATATATGAATGGGGAAATTTATTTCTAAGTGGACACTTTTTCATGACTCTGGATTTAATATCCTGGCCCAGATATAATATCTTAAAATAAAATAAATGCTGGAACTGCCTTGGAAGAATGTCACAGAGCTCAGGAAAGAGAGTAATTTAGAATAAATTTATTACATGATCCCAGATAACCCACTATTTCCATATTTTTCCCAGAAATAAAACACTCCTTATTTTAAGGATAAGAGGGCACTCCTTTCTTTAAGGCTATACGGAATGTACTGATGCAGAGGATCCTGGACTTTTTGACAAGCTCAGTGCTGGCTATCTGCTGAGGGCCAGGGTTGAGAGTAGGAGGTATGGCTGGATGCAATAGCTCATGCCTGTAATCCCAGCACTTTGGGAGGCTGAGGCAAGAGGATTGCTTGAGGCCAAGAGTTTGAGATAATCCTGGACAACATAGCAAGACCACATCTCTAAAAACATTAGAAATGATAAAATAAAAAAGAGAGTAGGAGATACACGCAAGAACTGGGCTCCATACAAATGGATATTTGCATTAGAGAATGTATTCTGGAAATGCAATTTCCCAAGGGAAGCACTTAAATAAAGAAGCAAGATGGAAACAATAATAGTGAGCAGCAAGACCAGAATGGTGACCGGGGTCTGTGGTTATGTTTAAGAGGTCACAGTTCGTTTCTAGGAATAAGATGCACAGGCAGCCAAAACAGTATGACAAGTATAGCCAAACTTGCATAATCAAAAAGACAAAGAGCTGGAGAGCAGATTTCAGCCAACATATTAGAAAATTATGATACTGCAGTCAGTTTTGAAGATCTCAACCAGTTTATAGATCTAGAGTCCATTGATTGAAGAGAGCTTTCTCTTGAGGAAGGCCTCTGCAATGTCACAGCAAGTAAATATAAGAAATAATTTCCCAATCTTTCCCCACAGGGACATGCACTTATTTGCCTCAGTCTGCAAAAGTACAGGATTACCTATACCTTTTGAAGGCTGTTATATATAGGTTACAAGCTGACTCTGATGCCTAAGATCTAAAACACCATTGTAGTCCTCTGGTTAGAGTAGTGGGGTGCTTAGAGTAAGAAGATTAATAGAATTCTAACACAAGTCTATCTCATAAGTGGGTCCAATGCATTTTCAAACTCACAATGGTTATTTCTCTAGTCCTCGAGTACGTAATTGTGAAATTCTTATCAGCTTGCCAACTCTCACACTGATTCCATGACATACAGAATGAGAGCCATTACAGTAGAAAGGGCCAAGTAGAAGTTCCTGAATTGCCCCCATATCCTCCTGTCAAGACAGTAAATCAGATGCAATGCTTCATCCTGAGAATTTCAGAAATGAGAATTACTATCAAAAAGTTAAAGAAGCAATAAGTAATGATCCTTTTAATAAATCTCTGTTCAAATCATCTGTATTCCCCCAACAAAAGTAGATGAATCAAGCATATTGGCAGTGGGCTACCATATACTTAACCAAGTGGTAGTCCCAATCACAGATGCTCTGCCAGATTTGGTGTCTTCACTGCAATAGATCAATGCTATCACTTAATTGTGTAGCTATTGATGTAGTTAATGGACTTATTTTAATCTCTATCAGTAATAACAATCAAAAACAGTTTGCATCTACATTGGAAGGAGAGCAGTCTATATTCATACAGGCAATCCATGGCTACCTTAAGTCTGTTAATATAGTCTGCAAGGACCTTAATCATGTTGATATTCCACTGAACATCCTATCTGTCCTCTATGTTGATGACATCATGCTAATTGGACTAGAGGACAGGAAGTGGCAAGTACTCGGAATTCTTTAGTAAGATAAACACATGCGAAAGGGTTAGAAGATATACCAAACGAGTCTGGGAATTTATCACAGCAATGAAGTTTTTAGGGATCTTATGGTCTGTGGAGTCCAGAAAAATAAAGAGGTTTGTAGAAAATTCAAAACATGATGTCAGCTGCTCTTCTATTCAGGCCATGTGGCCCAGCAGATCCCATAATGCTCAAAGTATTTATTGTGGATTAAAATGCTGTTCAGAGTCCCTTGGAAGGCCTAATATGAGAAATACATTGCAGATTCTCCAGGATTCTGGAGTACTGGCAGGACTTTTGTGCAGAAAACAAGTTGATGTTTAAAAAAGAGCTGTAAAAGAGACGGAGTGCCTGACTATGAGATAACAAATGATATAGTTTGGCTGTGTCCCCACCCAAATCTCATCTTGGATTGTAGTTCTCATAATCCCCATGTGTTGTGGGAGGGACCTGGTGGAAGGTAATTTAATCATGGGGGCAGTTACCCTCATGCTGTTCTTGTGATAGTGAGTGAGTTCTCATGAGAACTGATGGTTTTATGAGGGGCTTTTCCCCCTTTTGTTCAGCATGTCACCTTCCTGCCACCATGAGAAGAAGGATGTATTTGCTCCCCCTCCCACCATGATTGTAAGTTTTCTGAGGTCTCCTCTGCCATGCTGAACTTTGAGTCAATTAAACCTCTTTCCTTTATAAATTACCCAGTCTCTGGTATGTCTTTATTAGCAGTGTGAGAACAAACTAACACAAGTGATTATGTGACTAGAGTTTTCCAACATGAGTTGGATATTATCAGATCATAGGAGCCATGATGTCAAGCAAATGCAACAGCCATCTGTCAAATGGTGGAATGACACATTCAGATCATATCTGAGCAGGTCCAGGGGTCACAAGTAATACATAAAGAGGTGACACAGAACTCCACATCACTTATCTCAGTTTTACTATTGCCTCTCCTTCAAATTAGATTTGTGGTGTAATAGGAATTCCTCATGACTAACTGAGAGAAGTAGAAACTAAAGGCTTGGTTCACAGATAGGTCAGTTCGATATGTTGGTGCTAACAAAAAAATGGACAGTTGCCATATCACAGTCACACTCATCAGATACCCTGACAACAAATGGTGAAGGGCAAGCCCTCCAGCAGGCAGAGCTACAAGCAGTGCAGTTGGTCATGATTTTTTGGAGGGGGAAATAATCTGAAGTATGGATATAAATAAAACCTTGAGCAGAGGAGGCATGGAGGGAGCAAAATGTAATATTGGAAACAAGTAAGTCTGGGGAAGAGGCATATGAATGGACCTTTGGAAGTGATTACACACTTTGTGGATCCTTTTGTCTTACGTTATGTGCACCGGAGAGCATCTACTGAAGAGAAGACACCAGACAACCACAAAGAGAAACTCATCACACAGATGTTAACAGCTTCTCTCTTTAGCTACTGCAGTGTCTGCACAATGAGCCTTGGAATGGATGGCCATGATAATAGATTTGGAGATTATTTATGTGCCCAATATCAGGGACTCTGTCTCACAAAATTGGCTTATTGGCCCTGCCACTGCCACTGTTTATTGGCCCACCTGCATAGCATAGACCAGAGCTGAGCCTGCATATGACACCGTCTTTCAGTGATAACAGCCAGGCACTTAACTGTAGGTTGATTATATCAGACCTCTTCCACCCTCGACTAATTTATCCTTACTACAATTGATACTCTCTCTGCATATGTGTTTGTCTTCCCTGCCTTGAGTACCTCCAGAGCTCATACCATCTGAGTGATTACAGAATGTGTGATTTACTGATATGGCATTCCACACAAAAATGCATCAGATCCATTTCAAGATAAAGAAAGATTTATTATCCTGGAAGTGAAGCAAGATATCTCCCTGACTCCCTTGCTGGCGGGAACTAGAGTACACAGGTACTGTCAAGGGCAAACTCCACTCACTAGCTGCTTCACCCCTTATGGGAGGGGGAGAGCAGGTGAGCAGGTGCTGGAGCCAGGGTGAGCACTTTTGGGCACCAGCAAGAGCAAACTCCATACTAGCCCCACAGCAGCATCTAGGGGAGGGTGTCCAAAAGCCCCAAAGGAAGTGTTACTGTGCCCTTTTAGCTTTGCCATCCACGGATGGCTTAAGTGTTAACAGCTCAGTGGAGGGTCAGTGTGACAGCCTTTTGCATCCACATTCGAGTTCTTGTCCAGCATCCAAGAGGAATGAGGTGGCACAAACGACTTGAAGATAGTAAATGCAGGGGATTTTATTACCAATGAAAGTGGCTTTCAGAGGGAAAGGAAGCTGAAAAGTGGACAGAGCGGGAAGGTAATCTTCCCTTGAAGTCTAGCCATCCCCAGCCAGACTCCTCTCTGAAGCTATGCCATCAAGCTGTCCTTCTGAAGTCAAGCCACTTCTCTCTGACATCCCACTGTAATTTCTGTTGTCCAGTTGCTTCTCTTCCTCCTGCTGGCTGAGCCTGGGGTTTTTATGGGCACAGGATGGGGGCAGAGCAGGCCATGGGTAGTTTTGGAAAAGGCAACATTTGAGGGGGAAAACAGGAATGCAAGTTCTTACTTTGGGCCACAGTTCCAGGCTTGAGGGTGGGGTCCTCACTGGGGACCCACTCTCTTCTGCCCAAAATTTCCCTGCCTCCTTTCCCTATGAGAAGGACTGGAAAGTCCTGACTCGTCAATATAAATACTAGTCTTGTGATCTTGGCCAAGACATTTAACTGCTCTTTTTCTCATTTTCTCCATCTATTCAGATGAGGATGACAGGAATCCTATTAAGATCATATAAGACAAGGCTATGTGTAAAAAAGTCCTTTAGAAACCACAAATAATGATTTCAACAGTCATGGAAGTGAGTTGGCCAAGAGTCCCACCATACCAGTACCAAGAGGTGACTTGGTAAACAAGAAATGGTACTGTGTGATGGGCTTATACTGCCCACTAAGAGCAAGGAAGGCATTGCTGTTACACTTCAGGACCATGCTCATCAGGGAGCTTGGAGGGATCACAAAGGCAACATAGAGAATTATCCGTACAGAGACAACAGGCCACAAGGTAATCACTGGACAGCCACAGCACAGTAGGTAGGGATGCCATCAGTCTTTATGTGAAGTTGGGCTTCTTCAGGAAGTCGTGAGAACACTGACATCATACCACAATCGGGAACCAACCAGGAACTGAACCAACACACCAGAGACTCCATCAGTGATGACTTCAATATCATCACAATGAACATCTTGGATGCCAGGTGGAGGCAACTGCAAATCTGCCAAATTGGGACTGGTAAACAGGCAAAGAAAGAAAGAGAGATTGAAAAAAAAAAAAAAAAAAGACAGAGAATCCACTTAAGAGTTCACAAACAAAATTCAAAAACACACAAAGCAGCTAAGATCAAAAAGGACAGACAAAATTAACTATGAATTCATTCCAAATAAAAATAAATTTACATTTTAATAAGCATGTTTAGGATTGTCAAAGAAATAAATGTAGGGATATTAATAAAAACAGAACAAGAAATTATTTTAAAAAGTTGAAATTAAAGATAGATAAGAAAAAGTTAATTGAAAATCTTGGAAATTATATATATAAATTGTGTGTCTACATTACATATGTATTATATATAATATATGCATAATGTTATATATGTACTTTATATATGATATACACATTCATACATCTTATATGTATTTTATGCATATATGTGTATATTCAATAGGTTTGCTAAATTCCAGTTATGGTTAAAAAAAAATAAAATTTGTGTATTGAAAGATGTTTCTGAGGAATTTACCCAAATGAAGCACAGAGAAAAAAGAAATAAAAATATGTGAAAGGACAATTAAAATATATGGTGAAGAGTTTGAGAGACTTCAACAAATGTCTGATTGTTGTTTCAGAAAAAGTGAAGAAGGAAAATAATGGCAAAGTAACATATGTTACTTCTGCTATTTCCCAGAATTGAAGAGAGACATGAACTTTTATCCTGGAGATTTTAAAAATTACAAATAAAATAAAAATAAATCCATAGCTGGACATAGCATAATGCAACTGAAAAACATTTAGTATAAAAAGGAAAAATTTCAAACTCTCAAAGGAAAAAATTCCCAAATTATCTATACAAGACTGAGTACAGAACTTTCATCAGAAACAACTGATGAAAAAAGACAAGGAAGTAATATATTCAATATTTTGAGAGAAAATATTCATCAGCCTAGAAACTTACACTCAGGTAAACCACAATTCCAAGGTCAAAATTAAGACATTTCAGACATACACATTTCTTTAGAATTTACCACTAATTGATTTTCAATGAGAACTGATTACTTGATGTACTTTAATAGGAAGAGAAGTAGACTTAGAGGGATGACAAATGACTTGAAAAATTGGAGTCACACACAACATTAAGAAAAATGGAGGCACACAAATTGATTAAAGGGTTGAATGTGTGTGCTTTGATGAAGGGATGTTAAAGCATTGTAGTGTTCTAGGAGGACTATAAAGATGTGGATTAATTCCAGATTTTAAAATAAAACTATATATGTATTAAAAATATAGGATGCCAACTAAGGGAAGAAAAATATAGTCTAGGGTTTCCATGAGAGTAGGAGATAAAAAAAAATGTAGAAAACTTTATTAATCTACCAGAAGGGAGGAACAGAAATAAAAAAGAAATGGGGAAGAAAGATGGTAAACAGAAAACATGAATTACAAAGGAAAAAGAATATATAGTTATCACAGTGAATGTAAATAAGTTGAATTCACTTATTGAAGTACAGTCTATCATGTTGACTATATGTTGTTTATAAAAGATCCGACTAAAACAAAAACTACACAGAGATTTGAAAGAAAGTATTGAAAAATATACTAGGCAAATAATAACCAGACAAAGGATATATCAATATTAAAATAAAATAAAATGTAAGACTGAAAACTTTGATAGGGATAAAAAACATTCTACCAAGAGAATATAATAATAATGAATTTGTGAGTGTGTAACAACATAGCCTTGAAATATATGAAGTGAAAACTGAATTACATGGTGAAATTGACAAAACAATTTAGTTGAATTAAAAACCTAAATATGAAATGGAAAAAATTTCAGAAGAAAACATTTAAAACATGAGAATTGAAAAATAATTTTGCCACAAGACACAAAAATACAAACCATAAAGGAAAATACCAATACATTTTTATACATTAAAAAAACTTTTTGTATCAGAAGATACCATATAAGGGAGAAAAAGTAAGTTACGTAATCAACACAGGATTATAAAATCAACAAAGAATTAATATTCAGCATAGAAAGAGTTCCTACAAATCAATACAAAATGACAGCCTGATAGAAAAATGGTTAAAATATGTAAAAAATCAATTTATAGAGGAGAGAACCTGAATGGCCAATAAATATAAGAAAATATCTCGACCTCACTAGTAATAAGGGGAATACTTGTCAAAATTACAAAAAGGTAATATTTCACATTCATTATGTAGGAAAAGTATTATAAAAAGTAGGTTAAACAGAATTCTCAGATTCTTGTTGGAAATACAAGTTGTTAAAGTAATTAGTATCTAGAGAAGTTGATACTCACGTCTCTAATCTAGATTTTCAGTTTCTAGGTTTATGCCATAAAGAAACTGACACAAGTTCATAAAAAAGAATATTTATTGTTCTAATGAAGAGCAAGAAAAAGTTCAAATCCAACAGTTGAAGGAAAGATAAATAAATTGTATGTACATATATACACATAATATATATATATGTGTAACATAGGTATTTTGGATTTAAAAACTTGTGTTACAAAATTAATGAGAGGCCATTAGGCTGAGATGGGTTTAGGCCTTAGGTCCTACATAAGCAAACTGAAACCCAACTCATTGTAAATAGTGAAATGAAACTTTTAGCTTAACCAATCAGAAACTTCCAACTATATAAGCAAACTGAAACCCAACTCATCGTAAATAGCAAAATGAAACTTTTAGCTTAACTGATCAGATACTGCCAACTAACCCTTAACTAGGGACTTTCCACTTTAATGAATCAAATATTTTCTTTGTCTTGCTTCCATGAGCACCTTATAAAAGTTTTGCCCTCACACCCTCTTTCTAAAGTGCTAAACTGCTTGTAATTCATGAATTGTTAAATGTTCAAAAAACTCATTAAAATTTTAATATGTCTAAGTTTTGGTTACAATTACATAAATATATGGCATAGAAGGAATTTTAGATGCTAAGTTTTGTTTTTTAAAAAATAAATTCTCCTTGTAGTATGGGAGCAGAAAAGAAAATAAATAATAAAATAAAAAAATAAATTCGACTTCTGCTTTCATCTCTGACACATAGAGGGCTTGGAAATAGTCACTTCCATCTTTACAAAAAAAATCTTGAACAAAATGAAAAATCAATTGCTTTTCTTGAAACCTTCAGAAAATTGAGGTCAGAAAATAAACTGTCATCCTGAAATCTGGAGACACCAGCAAATACAGAGAATCATAGCTGAGATCAGCTTACCTGGACCAGAATCCATAGGAGCAATAAACTGATAATGACACTTAAATGGTAATTTTGACATGCTGACCTAAAGGAAGAAGCTGAGGAACAAAGTATAATTTTAAAGAGTTTACTTAAGCCAAGGTAAGAACAGTTGCCCAGAAAACTCAGACCTCAGTAAATTTGGATATGAGCTCCCCATTTGGCCTTTGTTACAAGCAGGTTTCTAAAGGTGAAGAGGGGGGACAGGAATGGGATTATACAAAGTTGCTCATCAGGAATTCTCATTGGTTTACAGAAAAAAAACATTGATTAGTGGTTGGCTATACATTGTTCTTTGTATCACACATTCCAGGACCATGAAGATAATGGCTGAAGGTCACATTGTGCAACTTGTGGTAACTTATTTTGAGATATGTTTCATCAATACCTAGTTTATTGAGAGTTTTAAGCATGGAGGCTGTTGAATTTGTTAAAGGCTTTTTCTGCATCTATTAAGATAATCATGTGGTTTTTGTCATTGCTTCTGTTTATGTGATGGATTACATTTATTGATTTGCATATGTTGAACCAGCCTTGCATCCCAGTTATGAAGCCGACTTGATAGTGGTGGATAAGCTTTTTGATGTGCTGCTGGATTCGGTTTGTCGGTATTTTATTGAGGATTTTTGCATGGATATTCATCAGGGATATTGGCCTGAAATTTTCTTTTTTTTGTTGTGTTTTGGAATCAGGATGGTGCTGGCCTCATAAAATAGGTTAGGGAGGATTCCCTCTTTTTCTAATGTTGGGAATAGTTTCAGAAAGAATGGTACCAGCTCCTCTTTGTATCTCTGGTAGAATTCAGCTGTGAATTCGTCTGGTCCTGGACTTTTTTTTGGTTGGTAGGCTATTAATTACTGCCTCAATTTCAGAAATTGTTATTGGTCTGTTCAGGGTTTCGACTTCTTCCTGGTTTAGACGTGGGAGGGTGTATGTGTCCAGGAATTTATCCATTTCTTCTAGATTTTCTAGTTTATTTGCATAGAGGTGTTTATAGTATTCTCTGATGGTAGTTTGTATTTCTGTGGGATCAGTGGTAATATCCCCTGTATCATTTTTTATTGCATCTATTTGATTCTTTTCTCTTTTCTTCTTTATTAGCCTGGCTAGCGGTCTATCTAATTTGTTGATCTTTTTAAAAAACTAGCTCCTGGATTCATTGATTTTTTGAAGGGTGTTTCATGTCTCTATCTCCTTCAGTTTTGCTCCGATCTCAGTTATTTCTTGTCTTCTGCTAGCTTTTGAATTTGTTTGCTCTTGCTCCTCTAGTTCTTTCAATTTTGATGTTAGGGTGTCGATTTTAGATCTTCCCTGCTTTCTCTTGTGGACATTTAGTGCTATAAATTTCCTGCTATACTCTGCTTTAAATGTGTCCCAGAGATTCTAGTACGTTGTGTCTTTGTTCTCATCGATTTCAAAGAACATCTTTATTTCTGCCTTAATTTTGTCATTTATCCAGTAATCTTTCAGGAGCAGGTTGTTCAGTTTCCATGTAGTTGTGTGGTTTTGAGTGAGTTTCTTAATCCTGATTTCTAATTTGATTGCACTGTGGTCTGAGAGACTGTTATGATTTCCGTTCTTTTGCATTTGCTGAGGAGTGTTTTACTTCCAATTATGTGGTCAAATTTAGAATAATTGCGATGAGGTGCTGAGAAGAATGTATATTCTATTGATTTGGGATGGTGAGTTCTGTAGATGTCTATTAGGTCCACTTGGTGCAGAGCTGAGTTCAAATCCTGGATATCGTTGTTAACTTTCTGTCTCGTTGATCTGTCTAATGTTGACAGTAGGGTGTTAAAGTCTCCCATTATTATTGTGTGGGAGTCTAAGTCTCTTTGTAGGTCTCTAAGGACTTGCTTTATGAATCTTGGTGCTCCTGTATTGAGTGCATATATATATAGGATAGTTAACTCTTGTTGAATTGATCACTTTACCATTATGTAATGGCCTTCTTTGTCTCTTTTGATCCTTGTTGGTTTAAGTCTGTTTTATCAGAGATTAGGATTGCAACCCCTGCTTTTTTTTGTTTTCCATTTGCTTGGTAGATCTTCCTCCATCCCTTTATTTTGAGCCTGTGTGTGTCTCTGCACATGAGATGGGTCTCCTGAACACAGCACACTGATGGGTCTTGACTATTTATCCAATTTGCCAGTCTGTGTCTTTTAATTGGAGCATTTAGCCAATTTACATTTAAGGTTAATATTGTTATGTGTGAATTTGATCCTGTCAATTCAACTAGCAATGATGCTAGTTGGTTATTTTGCCCGTTAATTGATGCAGTTTCTTCATAGTGTTGATGGTCTTTACAATTTGGTATGTTTTTGCAGTGGCTGGTACCAGTTGTTCCTTTCCATGTTTAGTGCTTCCTTCAGGAGCTCTTGTAAGGTAGGTCTAGTGGTGACAATATCTCTAAGCATTTGCTTGTCTGTAAAGGATTTTATTTCTCCTTCACTTATGAAGCTTAGTTTGGCTGGATATGAAATTCTGGGTTGAAAATTCTTTCTTTAAGAATGTTGAATATTGGCCCCCATTCTCTTCTGACTTGTAGGGTTTCTGCAGACGGATTCGCTGTTAGTTTGATGGGCTTCCTTTTGTGGGTAACCCAACCTTTCTCTCTGGCTGTCCTTAACATTTTTTCCTTCATTTCAACCTTGGTGAATCTGACGATTATGTGTCTTGGAGTTGCTCTTCTCAAGGAGTATCTTTGTGGTGTTCTCTGTATTTCCTGCATTTGAATGTTGGCCTGTCTTGCTAGGTTGGGGAATTTCTCCTGGATAATATCCTGCAGAGTGTTTTCCAACTTGGTTCCATTCTCATCGTCACTTTCTGGTACACCAATCAAACATAGATTTGGTCTTTTCACATAGTTCCATATTTCTTGGAGGCTTTGCTTGTTTCTTTCCATTCTTTTTTCTCTAATATTGTCTTCATGCTTTATTTCATTAAGTTGATCTTCAATCTCTGGTATCCTTTCTTCTGCTTGCTTGATTTGGCTATTGACACTTGTGTATGCTTCATGAAGTTCTTGTGCTGTGTTTTTCAGCTCCATCAGGTCATTTATGTTCTTTTGTAAACTGGTTATTCTAGTCAGCAATTCAACTAACCTTTTTCAAGGTTCTTAGGTTCCTTGCATGCTCCTTTAGCTCAGAGGAATTTGTTATTATCCACCTGCTGAAGCCTACTTCTGTCAATTCATCAAACTCATTCTCCTTCCAGTTTTCTTCCCTTGCTGTCAAGGAGTTGTGATCCTTTGGAGGAGAAGTGTTCTTGTTTTTCGAATTTCCAGCATTTTTATGCTGGTTTCTCCCCATCTTCATGGATTTATCTACCATTGGTCTTTGATGTTGGTGACCTTCGGATGGTGTCTCTGAGTGGACATGCTATTCCTTTCTACTTGTTAGTTTTCCTTCTAACAGTCAGGCCCCTCTGCTGCAGGTCTGTTGGAGTTTCCTGGAAGTCCACTCCAGACCCTGTTTGCCTGGGTAGCACCAGTGGAGGCTGCAGAACAGCAAAGATTGCTGCCTGTTCTTTCCTCTGGAAGATTCATCACAGAGAGGAACCTGCCAGATGCCACCCAGAGCTCTCCTGTACGTGATGTGTCGGCCCCTACTGGGAGATATCTCCCAGTCAGGATACACGGGGGTCAGGTACCCACTGGAGGAGGCAATGTGACCCTTAGCAGGGCTCGAAAACTGTGCTGGGAGATCCGCTGCTCTCTTCAGAGCCATCAGGCAGGGTCGTTTAAGTCTGTTGAAGCTATGCCCACAGCTGCCCCTTCCCTGAGATGCACTGTCCCTGGAAGATTGGGGTTTTATCTATAAGTCCCTGACTGGGGCTGTTGCCTTTTTTTCAGAGATGCTCTAACCAGAGAGGAGGAATCTAGAGAGGCAGTCTGTCCACAGAGGCCTTGCTGAGCTGTGGTGGGCTCTGCCCAGTTTGAACTTCCCAGCAGCTTTGTGTACCCTGTGAGGGTAAAACTGCCTACTCAAGCCTCAGCAGTGGTGTGTACCCTTCCCCCAATGAAGCCTGAGCGTCCCAGGTTGACCTCAGACTGTTGTGCTGGCAGCGAGAATTTCAAACCAGTAGATTTTAGCTTGCTGGGCTCCATGGTGGTGGGACCTGCCAAGCTGGACAACTTGGTTCCCTGGCTTCAGCCCTCTTTCTAGGGGAGTGAATGGTTCTGTCTTGCCGGCATTCCAGCTGCCACTGGGGTATGGAAAAAAAAACTCCTGCAGCTAGCTTGGTGTCTGCCTGAACAGCTGCCCAGTTTTGTGCTCGAAACCCAGGGCCCTGGTGGTGTAGGCACCAGAGATAATCTCCCGGTCTGTGAGTTGCGAAGACTGTGGGAAAAACGCTGTATCTCTGCTGGAGTGCACCGTTCCTTAGGCACAGTCCCTCATGACTTCCCTTGGGTAGGGGAGAGAATTCCCCAACCCCTTGCACTTCTCAGGTGAGATGATGCCCCACCCTGCTTCGGCTCCTCCTCTGTGGGCTGCACCCACTGTCCAACCAGTCCCAGTGAGATGAATCAGGTACCTCAATTGGAAGCGCAGAAATCACCCACCTTCTGCGTCCATCTCACTGGGAGCTGCAGACTGGAGCTGTTCCTATTCAGCCATCTAACAAAATGCTTTAAACAATTGCCACTGGGCATGGGTGTGGTGGTGATGGTGGGGTTGTGTATGGCACCTAACTAAAGTGTTTTGGATGGCACCTAACTAAAGTCTCATACCCATGTCTCTCTGGACCTGATAAGTTCTGCATACCTCACATTCCTCAGACTGCTCTGAGCTATTTTTCTTCCTCAGATGCATTTTTGGAGGCTATGTGAACTCATGAGACTGAGAAAGTTTCAGTCTTAGGAGGGCCTCCATGCTTGCTTGGATTTTACCTCCGGGAAACCCATGGTGAAGAACCAGAAAAGCTTTGCTTCACAGCTCTGTCAGCGGGGAGAAAAAAAAAAGTAATCATTTTGAAATACACCCAAAATACTCTCCATAACAAAAAGCCTACTCTCCAGGAGAAAAGTCTTTGTCAGACCCTTGTCCCACCTATGAGGAAGGGTATTCACCCAAATTTAGCTCACTTTATGCTTTCTGTCTCACCTAATGGAGAAAATATAAGAAACAATTGTGAAGGTCACAGCACAGAGACACAGGCCTGCTAAAAGACTGAGATTTTATCATGGGATTATAGAATGTTTCCCTTGCCCCATACCTTAACACCACATCAACAGGGATCCAGTATAATCAAGTGAATTTAGCTAAACTAACTGCAAAATCTGGGCTTTATTTAAGAAGGTTGAAAAAAACAAAAATGCTAGAGGAATTTAAAGCCACTGAAAACTGTAGCTCATGTATTCCCAGAGCCCAGTATATTAGTTAGCTTGATCTGCTGTCACAAAGTACTGCACACTGGGTGGCTTAAGCAATGGAAATTATTGTCTCACCGTTCTGAATGCTATAAGTCTGAAATGAAGGTGCATTAAGGTTGGTTCCTTGTGTAAAGGAGACTGTTTGGAATCAACTGACAGATTCTTCTTGCCCACTGCACAGATAAAGCCAATTCACTGAGACAGTGGTATTCCAGTAGAGAAATTGTTTAATTAATTTAGGGGTAGTCAAATTAAAGATGAGAATTTATTACTCAAATAAGCCTCCCTGAGAACTCAGAGGCTAGGGTTTTTATGGATAAATTGGCAGGCAGGGGACTAGGGAATGGGTGCTGTTAATTGGTTGGGGATATACAATTACAGGGGTGAGAAAAATGATCCTAATGCTGAGTCAGCCTCTGGGTGGGGCCACAAGACTGGTTGAGTCATGAGTCATGGGTCTGGGTAGAGTCAGTCGATTGCCAGAATGCAAAAGGCTGAAAAACATCTCAAAAGACCAATCTTAGGTATGTTATCTATAGGAGCAATTGGGGAAGTCACAAATCTTGTGATCTGGCCACATGACTCCAGAGGAGTAAGAAAAAAGCTAGGAAAAAATAGCTGGTTGTTATTTAACTATGCCTACATCTTAGCAGAATTCAGGCTCCTCTCATAATCCTAATCTTATGGTCTTTCATTCATCTTACAAAGGGAGTTTCAGTCTCTGAACAAGGAGGGGGTCATTAAGCTATAAACAAAATTACTCCCATGGTTAGTTTGGCCAATGTTCAGGAATGAGTGAGGACAGCCAGCCTGGGAGGCTAGAAGCAAGAAGGAGTCAGCTATGCTAGTCTTCTCTTGTTGTCATGTCTTTGCAAAGATAGTTTCATGTTCCTTGCCTCCCACCTAGCTTCTGGTAGCCTAAGGCATTCTTTGATTTGTACATGGTGTTTGCCTCGCATTTTCACTTCACTGTATGTGTCTCTGTCTCCTAGTCATATTGGATTAGGGGCCCACCATATGCTAGTATGACTTCAATTTAACTTAACAAATTTTATCTGCAATGACTCTATTTCCAAATAAGGTAACCTTCTTAGGTACTGTCGGTTAGTACTTCAACATATGAGTTTGGGAGGGGAGACACACAATTCAACACATAACACATAATAACAAAAACAAAAAAGAAGATACAAACTGATAATATCAGAAATGAAAGAGAAATCATCACTACTGTTCTCACTGACACTAAAATAAATAAATAAATAAATAAATAAATAAATACCATGAACAGCTCTATGTCCACAAATTTGGACTCAGATGAAATTAATCAATTTCTTGAAAAACACAAACTATCCAAACTCACACGAGTAGAAATAGATAATCTCAATAGATCTATGTCTATCAAAGATATTAAATCAATAGTTAATAATCTTTCAAAAAAGAAAGCACCAGGCTCAGTTGGTTATACTAGTGAATTCTACCAAACATTTAAAGAATAAAAAGATGTAATTACATATAGTCTCTTCCCAAAAATAGAAGCTGAAGGAACACATTCTAACCTATTCTATGAGTCAGTATCACCCTAATACCAAAACAAGAAAAATGCTTAATCAGAAAAGGAAAACTGTAAACTAATATCTCTCATGAATATAGATGGAAAAATCCCAACAAGGTATTGGCAAATGGAATACAAAAATGTTTAAGAAGAGTTATATATTGTGACTGATATGGTTAGATTTGTGTCCCCACCCAAATCTCACTTTGAATTGTAATCCTCAGGTGTTTAGGAAGAGAGCTGGTGGGAAGTGATTGGATTATGGAAGTAGTTTCCTTCATGCTATTCTCATGATAGAGAGTTAATTTTCATGAGATCTGATTATGTTATAAGGCAATTTTCCCTGCTCTTGTTAGAGCTTCTCTCTCCTGCAACTATGTGAAGAAGGTCCTTGCTTCCCCTTTGCCTTTTGTCATGATTGAAAGTTTCCTGAAGCTTCCTCAACCATGTGAAACTGTGAGTCAATTAAGCCTCTTTCCTTTATAAATTACCCAGTCTTGGGTATTTCCTTATAGCAGTGTGAGAATGGACTAATATTGTGAATTGGTACTGGGAATGGGGCACTGTTATGAAGATACCCCAAAATGTGGAAGCAACTTTGGAACTGGGTAAAAGGCAGAGGTTGGAGCAGTTTGGAGGGATCAGAAGAAGATAGGAAGATGTGGGAACATTTGAAGCTTCCTAGAGACTTGTTGAATGGTTTTAACCAAAATGCTGATAGTGATGTAAACAATGAAGTCCAGGCTGAGGTGGTCTCAGATAGAGATGAGGAACTTACTGGGAACTGGAACAAAGTGTACTCTTGCTGTGCTTTAGCAAAGAGACTGGCAGCATTTTATCCCTGCCATAGACATCTGTGAAACTTTGAACTTGAGAGAGATGATCTGAAATTGGAACTTAAAAGGGAAATTTGGACAATTTTTCTGGGTGTGGTGGCTCATGCCTGTAATCCCAGCACTTTGGGAGGCCGAGACAGGCAGATTACCTGAGGTTGGGAGTTTGAGACCAACCTGACCTATATGGAGAAACCCCATCTCTACCAAAAATACAAAATTAGCCAGGCATGGTGGTGCCTGCCTATAATCCCAACTACTTGGGAGGCTGAGGCAGGAGAATCACTTGAACCTGGGAGGTGGAGGTTGTGGTGAGCTGAGATCGCATCATTGCACTCCAGCCTGGGCAACGAGAGTAAAATTCTGTCTCAAAAAAGAAAAAAAAAGTTTGGATAGTTTGCAGCCTGATGATGTAATAGAATAGAAAAACCCACTGGGTGTGGTGGCTCATGGCTGTAATCCCAGCACTGTGGGATGGATCACTTAAGGTCATCCATCCTTAAGTGGATGGATGTGTGGATGGCCGCTGTGGTTGAGTCACTTAAGGTCAGGAGTTCAAGACCAGCCTGACCAACAAGGTGAAACCCTATCTCTACTAAAAGTACAAAAATTAGCTTGGAGTGGTGGCAGGCACCTGTAGTCCCAGCTACTTGGGAGGCTGAGGCAGGAGAATTGCTTGAACCCAGGAGGCAGAGGTTGCAGTGAGCCGAGATCATGCCATTGCACTCCAGACTGGGCGACAGAGAGAGACTCCATCTAAAAAAAAAAAAAAAAAGAAAAGAAAAGAAAAATCCATTTTCTCAGGAGAAATTCAAGCTTGCTGCAGAAATTTGCATAAGTAATGAGGAGTTAATCACCAAGACAATGGAGAAAATGTCTCCAGGGCATGTCAAAGGTCTTCAGGGCAACTTCTCCCATCATAGACCTGGAGGCCTAGGAGAGAAAAATGGTTCCCTAGGCTGGGCCAGGGCTGCTGCTGCTCTGGGCAGCCTCAGCACATGGTGTCCTGCATCCCACCCATGGCTAAAAGAGACCAACATACAGCCCAGGCCATTGTTTCAGGCAGTGCAAACACCATGCCTTGGCAGCTTCCATGTGGTGTTGGGCCTGCAGGTGTGCAGAACACAAGAATTAAGGTTTGGGAACCTCTGCCTAGATGTCAGAGAATGTATGGAAACATCTGGATGTATAGGCAGAAGTCTTCTGCAGGGGTGGGGACCTCATGGATAATCTCTGCTAAGGCAGTATGGGAGAGAAATGTGGGGTTGGAGCTCCCACACAGAGTCCCCACTGGTGCGCTGCCTAGTGGAGCTGTGAGAAGAGGGCCACCATTCTCCAGACCCCAGAATGGTAGATCCGCCAACAATTTGCACCATATGCCTGAAAAAGCAGCCAGGGGGTGCTATACCATGCAAAACCACAAGGCTGGAGCTGCCCAAGGCTGTGGGATCCTACCTCTTGTGTCAGCATGACCTGGATATGAGATATGAAATCAAAGGAGATTATTTTGGAGCTTTAAGATTTAATGACTGCCTTGTTGGATTTCTGACTTGCATGGGACCTGTATGTAGCCCCTTTGTTTTGGCCAATTTCTTCCATTTGGAATGAGAGCATTTATCCAATGCCTGTACCCTCATTGTATCTTGGAAGTGACTAACTTGCTTTTGATTTTAAAGGATCCCAGGCAGAAGGGATTTGCTTTGTCTCAGATGAGACTTTGGTCTTCAACTTTTGAGTCAATGCTGAAATGAGTTAAGACTTTAGGGGACTGCTAGGAAGGCATGATTGGTTTTGAAATATAAGGACACAAGATTTGGGAGGAGCTGGGGGTGGAATTATATTGTTAGGTTTTGTGTCCCCACCCAAATCTCACCTTGAATTGTAATCCCCAGGTGTTTAGGGAGAGACCTGGTGGCAAGTGATTGGATCATGGGGGCGATTTCCCCTATACTGTTCTTATGATAGTGAGTGAATTCTCATGAGATCTGATGGCTTTATAAGGCAGTTTTCCCTGCTCTTGATAGCACTTCTCTCTCCTGCCACCATGTGAAGAAGGTCCTTGCTTCCCCTTTGCCTTCCGCCATGATTGTAAGTTGCTTGAGGCCTCCTCAGCCATGTGGAACTGTGAGTTAATTAAATCTCTTCCCTTTATAAATTATCCAGTCTTGGGTATTTCTTTATAGCAGTGTGAGAACAGACTAACACAATAACCAACTGGGATTTATTCTGAATATGAAAGGCAGTTTCAGCATTTGAAAATTAATTATTGCAATCCATTCTACCAACAGGCTAAAGAAGAAACATTATATAATCCTATTGATTGATACAGCAAAAGCATTTGGCAAAATCCTACACCCATTTATAATAAAAAGCTTTTAGCAAACTAGGAATAGAGGAGAAATTTCTCTGTTTGGTGAAGAGCACCTACAAAAAAACTACAGCCAACATCATATTTAATGGTGAGAAAATGAATGTTTTCGCCTTAAGATAAGGAACCAGGCAAAGATGTTCTCTTTCTTTACTCCTACTCAAAATTGTGCTAGAAGTTCTAGCTAGTACATTTAGAAAAGAAAGCAAATAAATAAGATTGAGGAAGAAGAAATAAAAGCATTAAGACTATTAAAAGTAATAAGACTGTTGCATCAGACAAGAGATAATGGTGACCTGGATCAATATAATGGTGGAGATGGAGAGATGGATTGAAGAGGTAAGAAATAAAATCCACAGAGCCTGGGAATGGATTACACACGCATGGTAGAGATGGGGGTACCCAGGATGACTTTCGGGATTTGGTTTGCATGACTAGAAAGGTTGTAGGGCCATTTATAGGACTAAAGAGAGCACCGAAAGAGAGTAAATTTGGAAGAAAAAGCTATAAATTATGCTTTGGTCAAGTAGAGATTGAGATTCCTTAGAGAAGTGGTGTCACTTGGCCACTTTTTGCTTGTGTGTGTGTGTGCATGTGTGTGTGTGTGTGTGTGTGTGTGTGTGTGTGTTCCTGGAATTCAGAGAAAAGCATAGGGCTAGAAATTAGTTTGTAAATTATTTGCATGTAAGTGGTGATTGAAACCATAACTATGAAGAAATTGCCTAAGGGGAGATTATAGAGTGAGAAGGATGCCAAAAACTGTGCTGTGACATTTAATGGTCAAGAAGAGGAGAATGAACAACAAAGAAGACTCAGAAGTAGCTGAAGAAAAGGGGAAGACCAAGGGTAGTGCGTGTTTCAGGAAAGAGGCATTGATCAAGAATGTTGACTACTGCTGAAACAGTACAATGACTACTGAAAAAATCCATGAATTTAGCAACAGAGAAGTCATTAGTGACTTTACAGAGGGCTATTTCACTCTGTAATGGCGTTATGTGCCAGACTGAAGTAGGTTTAGGATTGAGCAGGAGGTGTGAAAATTGCAATAGCACAAAAAGAAAATCAAGAATGACTGTGAAGTCAGTGATAGAAATAGTACTACAGTTGCTAGAAGTGAGGAGGTGGAGGACATGGATTTGAGTGAGAAATTCTTTTCATTTTTTGTTTTAAATAACATTCACTTGAGTATGTTTTAAAGTTGGTGTAAAACATTCAATTGAGAGAAAAGTTTGAATACACATGGAGAAGAAAAGAGAAGATGAATGGTGTAAAGTTCTTGAAGTGGGTAATGGGGTAAAATCCAGAACAGAGGTGGAGAGATTATTCCCCTCTCTGGTAGTCAGAGAGATGCAGACCAGGATAGACAGGGGAGGTAAGTATGTTTTATTTCAAAAAGATGAAGGAGTTTCAATCTGGTAACTTCTGTTTTCTCTGCAAAGTAAAGATTTTATATCACTTATCTTGAATGGTGTATATGCAAAATTTAACACTATCTTCTAGCATATTTGTAAATTCTATTTGCTAGGCACATAGCTAGCTGTTTAGTTTTGTGGGTTATGGATTGTATTTTGGTGTGATGTAGCATGGTGTAGCATTATAGATCTCTTCAGATTTTCGACAGTTTATGAAAGACTTGAAATCTTTCTTTAAGGAGAAAAATTATAGAGATTGCAACTGAAGGTGATTTTTTTTCCTTTGACACATTTTGAAAAATGGATGCATCATATTCCATCATATAGATGTATTATAATCATTTGCACATTAAGTTTTTAAAAATAATATTGTAATGAATATACTTATACATGTATCTTTCTCTCTTGATATTTCTTAGACATGGAGTCACTGAGTTAAGGAGTTTAAACATTTTTAAATCTCATAATACATATTGCCAAATTGCCCTTCAGAAAGATATCCAGTTCATTTAGTCAAACCCAAAAGAAATGTAATTGAGAGATTAATATGCTAATTTTAAACTAGGAGACGTCACAGTATCTAGAATTTGTTTTAAACTGACACTTTCTAAATTGGGACCATAGATGGCACTAAAGGATTAAGGAATGTAACCATGTTTGTAATTCTCTGTTGGAAGGGATCTCGAATGGACATCCCAGCCACCCTCTTTCATAGCAGATAAACTATAAACAGTTCTAGAAAAACAGTCCTTTCCGTCTTTAACCTTATATATAAATCAAATTGGTCACCCATTCTAAACTTATGCTTTTAGTCTTAATGGTCTGTTGTACTTGCAATTCTGTAACAATGTAAGCTTATTGGAATTTATCTTATCCTCTATGCCAGTGGTCCCCAACCTTTTTGGCACCAGGGACCGGTTTCATGGAAGACAATTTTTCCACAAACCGGGGAGTGGGGGGTGGCAGGGTTGGGGTGGGGTAATTTCAGGATGATTCAAGTGCATTACATTTATTGTGCATTTTATTTCTATTATCATTATGTTGTAATATATAATGAAATTATTCTACAACTCATAATGTAGAATCAGTAGGAGTCCTGAGCTTGCTTTCCTGCAACTACACGGTCCCATCTGCGAGTGATGAGAGACAGTGACAGGTCATCAGGCATTAGATTCTCATAAGGCGTGTGCAACCTAGATCCCTCGCATGCGCAGTTCACAATAGGGTTCCTGCTCCTATGAGAAGCTAATGCTGCCACTGATATGACAGGAGGCAGAGCTCAGGTGGTAATGCCAGTGATGGGGAGCAGCTGTAAATACAGATGGAGCTTTACTCACTGGCCTGCTGCTCACCTCCTCCTGTGCAGCCCAGTTCCTAACACACTGGTGCGTGGCCCAGGGTTTGGGAACCCCTGTTCTAGGCTGTGGAGTATACTTCACCATGTCATTTGCAAATTCCTTGCAATACCAGTTGTCTTATAGTAAACTTTGCCACCTTTCATTCTTCTGCTTGTAAAACTTTCTTTTTTTAAAGAAGGAAACATATAGGTCATAAGTCAGAAAGGCAAAGAACTCTCATGATCTGATCATAAAACTTAGCACTGTGAAACTCTGGATATGAATGTATGTGACATACTTAACTTGATAAGTTGTACAGTGACTTTCTAGCTTTGCAGTGTGAAAATTGTATTTTAAACAAACTATTTAAATGTCAGACTGATGTGTCCTTGTAGGGATGGTTTTGAATGTCACCACTGTCCACTGTTTTTACCATCAATCCTTAGGAGTTGCTTTGATGACTTCTTACCCAACATTTCTAGATTTCAATAGTCCAATGACTGAGAAGCAAGCAGGCTTGCAGGGAGCCAACTTTTCTTGGAAGACCAAATGGCCCCTGCTGGTGTAGATGAAACTTACATTAAGAACTACCTGTCTTAACTTAGCTTTCCCTCTGTAACCTCCTTCAGCGATGACAGTAGAACATGTGTTCAGTCATTATCTACGGCTGGGAGACAGGAAGGGGAGGGAAGCAATGGGAGCATACATGTTTGTGCCTTTTCAAAGATAGATTTAAAAAGCTAATGTTTACAGCTTGCCACTCACAATAAAAATGCATTAGATGCAGAGGACATGAGAATTGAATCTACCTGTTAAAACAGGTTTACTTTAGTTAAAACAAGTAGCCATTGCTTCAGAAACCTTTCAGAGCTACAATACACACACACACACACACACACACACACACACACACCCCTCCTTGATCTAGGCGTTTTTGTTTCTGTATAAATAAAGGTCTCACTGCTGTGGAGCAGCATGATATTAGAGATAGGAAGTGAAATTATAGGTACCCCATTCTAGAAATGTAAAGAATACAACCTCATCTTTCTCTCTCTGCAGTTAAAAGAAGTTTGCAGTCGACCTTACTGCAACGTAAACATTGCCTGATAATATATAAATATGTATGCAGATGTTTCTACATATAAATAAATATATATGAATAACATTAAATATGTATTAAGAGAGACATACTCATTTTGATTCTAGCTTATTAATTCTGAAAAAATGGAATTATTTTCCTAGCATTCTTATGTAAAGTGGAAGCCACCTGAACACTGAACAATTGAGTAGCTGATGTTCTGCAACTCCAGAGAGCTTGGAAGCTTTAGCTAGGAACTTTATAAGTAAACACACAGCTTCATGAAGACTCCAGTGTGATTCCACAAAGCAGCCCTTGCTGAAGTTGTCTGGGAGAAGGCAGAGAGTGATACAGACATTTACTCATTAGTTAATGACATTGGACGGGTTTCCTAACGTCTCTCAACATCAGTTTCTTCATCAACAAAGTAGGGAAAATGCATCATAGCATTATTCTGAAGGCTAAGGTAGAATATATTTTAGACATCTGGCAGAGTTTGACATATATTGCCCACAAAATTGCAACAATAAATTAATTAAGTGAATCCTTGAAAAGCCTCTGCCTCAGGGTAGTCTTTTGCTTTCCAATTCAATGTGTTTCAATTCAATTCAATCTCAATTCAATCCAATGACGTAGACTTTTAGCCATAAGAAGCAAGACCCGCCAAATACTTCGTATCTTTCACCAACTGTTCTGATTAACCTGGCAGTTGCCATGGTAACATTAGCCCAGTCCTCTCTTAGTTATGGAGGCTCCTTTATTCCAGGATTCACTCTTTTTCCTGATGGACAGCAGGTGAAATGGCCACAACATTAAAGCCAAACTGTTATACATTTTAATGAAAAAGTAAATTCTGGATTTTAGTGATAGAGTTTTGTTTTAAATCTCTACAGTCAGTCTCTGAATCTTGATGTCCTTCCGTCTTGGCCGCAGTTCCTCTCAGGTGGTCAGAGCACCCAGTTCAGATTCCTGTATTTGGAGAGCCCTGGGCCGTGATTAGAGTCACCACCCAACACGAAAATCACCTGTTTACACTTCCGGATTTTTACCTTTCAGGGATTCAGTTTAGGGGAAAGGAGAAAGGAAATTAAAGGCAGGAAAATATGGAATACAACAAGGAGAAATGAAATCAGAACAAAAAAAGGAAAATCAGGAAGAAAGGGCCAAGAAAAATTCAAAGAAAGAAAATGAGGGTAAATGAAAGGGAAGAGATAAGTGGTCTACATACCTGAGTAATTACAGAACAATTTTGCACAAATGGAATTTCAATTAAAATGTGTGATTTAGAATGTTAAGTTCTCCTTAAGTAGTTTTTTGTGCTTTATTTTATTATTGTAAAAAATCTATGAAGCAGTACAAATATCTGTAAAATAAAAAAGAAAAAAATTAAGCCTTTCCACCTGCTATTCCTTTCTTCTTCTCAGAGATTGCTACTAAATATTTTCTGTATATACACTAATACATAGAATTAGTATTGATTCATATGATTATATCACATATGAATCATACCAAAAAATGACCTGTGACATATTGTTTTTCATCTAATAAGATATGCAGAACTTTTCTCCATGTTATTACATTTAGATTTATCTCATTCTTTGTAATGCTACAATATCCTAACTGTTAGTTTTACTAGTATTTAACTGGCCCCCTGCTGTTAGGTACTCTGATTTCTTGTTCCTTTTCTTTGAACAGATCATTTGAAAACAAGAAAACCTAAAAACACTACTGGAAAAAGTTTGGACATTTTATTGACATTATAGGTATTTGGCAACTATTACACTGTGTGTAATTACTTGATAGAGCCTACACTAAGTGGTGCTGCATAAAAATGATAAGAGTACAAGTGAGATGCCATGCTGAGTTCTCAAATGAGGAAACAAATTTTCTTTTATGTCTACTTCTTGGTTCAGTTATTTAAGCAAAGGCAACAGCTTGGTGAAAAGATGTGGACTTTATAATATCTGTCTGCCAAGAAGATACCGATATTTATGGTAAATTAATAAAAGCATGGGCCATAAAACTGAAAGGAATCCTAGAGTTTATTTGGTCCTTCTCTCTCATACTACAGATTAGACTGGGACTGGGCACAGATAGTGTTTGGTTTTACCTCAACACTACCGCATCAACACTACATACACAGTACTAGTTTGCTAATATCATTTCTATGTGTGTAACCTAGTTACTAAATGATATCTCACTTATTTTAAATTGTTTTATCTTCCCCATCTAATAGGGGAAAGTAGATGTGTGTCCAGGGCTCCAGCAGAATTTTGTAGGCAGCATTACAGGATCATGAAAGAATCTTGGGCACTTCTGGGGAGGCTGCACAGTAGATATGACATCAGCACGGATAGTCTTGAAGAGCAAGCAGGAATATTCCAGATGGACAAGGAGGCAAATTAGAGCTTTCCATGTATGGTCATGATATAATCTATTGTTTAAGCTGGGACACTTTTGAAAGCAGAAGGTTTGAAATAGATGTATTTTAAGTGTGTGTGTTGGAACAGTGGGGATTTTCCTTGATGGCATGAGAAACTAGGTCAAGGTCAGAAGTTGTTAGACACAAATGAAATCAAGCAAATGTATTTATCTATTAGCATCTAATTATGACTGCCTGGCAGGTCAGCCTCTACTACTAAGTGTTTGTTTGAAATTAAGAATTAAGACTTGCAGTTGGTAGATTTCTTAATATGCAAAATCATATAGTTAAAAATTAAATTTCATTGAATTATTTCAGTAAATATATGTTAATTAACCTAGTAAGATTTCACTAAAATAGAACTATCTAAGAAATGGTTTTAGATGGTCATTGTAAACACAAGAAACTTCCTGATCTGGAACCAGAATATAGAGGGTCACCCACCCTTTTTAAAAGATATTTATGGACATACAGTGATAAAATTCATGTTCAATTTTTCTCTTTAAAGTTGATTTCCAAGTTCACTTTTTGCCTCCTTAACTGCTATTTCTTAACCTTTCCCGGCATCTCCATAATGGTGATGGCATCTCCTGAAGTTGGTGTTTCCAAGGGTGTTTCCCCCTTTATTTGCTTTCTGTCTCATCTTTTTGACATCCATTTCTACCTGTTCCTCATTTCCATACAAAACTCAATTTTAATCAGATATTCATTGTTTTTCCACCCACTCACATGCTTCTGAAGGTGTTGTCTTCCCTACCATGTCCACGGAAGTAAATTCTGAGTATTGTTTTAATCAAGGTAATCCCACTCCTCTTGCTAATAATTCCTTTAGGGAAGGGCATGTAACATGTATGGCCAAGGAAACCCTACTGGAATGCTAGTAGAGACTTCTGGGAAAGGTTTCCTCACACCCAAGGAAGTAGCACACAAAGTGGCTTTTTCCATTTTCTGGATGGTGCGGCATGTTTATATGACTTCTGGAATTGCTACATCCATCCTGTAACTATGAGGGAAGAGTAGAAGATGAAAAAGAACTTGAGTTCTTGATGACATTGTTGAGTCATTACATTAACCAATCCTGGGAATTTACCTGGCTTTTGAACTTCCTGTCATTTGAGATAATAAATTATTCTTTAAGTCCATTTAATCTGAGTTTTTTGTTATTCTCTTTCAAAGGCATGGTGATATATGGTCCAAATTTACTTCTTAAACCCAGACCTCTCCTTGAATGTCCCTCTTGGATATAAAACTGTCTATCGGATATTTCTGTTTGGAATCTTAAACTAATCCTAACCTTACCTAGTTCTCAACTCATCATTTCCCCCCTTTTAAACCTGTTGCTTCACATGCACTTCCCATCTTGTGTGATGGCATCATCAAGCTCTCAACACAGAAACACAGGCATTATTTATGACTCTTACCTGTATTTGGTGTCCCACATCTGATAACTGGGTCCCTATAAGTTTTATCTCTAAGACTTCCACCCTATAGTCCATCAAGTGCTTCATCCTCATCTTGATAATAGTAATATCTTCCCTAATTATTTATCTAGTCTCAGCTTTGTCCTATAAAATCCATTTCCAAGTTTATGTAGAGTGATCCATCCAAAACAGAAATCTGTTGTGATTGCTCACCTGGTCTGAGTCTCATTACTTACAGAATAAATCCAAGTTTCTTAACTGAACACTCAGGTTCATGCATGATCTGACCCTTATCCATGTAATCTCATTCATTCATTTTATCCTCAAATATTTCTTGATTGCTGAGATATGATAGTCATTGGGAATATAGGCAGATGTTGTTCCCTGCCTTCCCTGACTTTGGGAGCTTACAGTCTAGCAAGGAAGATAGACACTAAGCAAATGATTACCCTCGTGATGAGTGTAACAGGGAAGTACAGTATACTAGCTTCTTCTGTCATCAGCACTTGCCTTGACCATTCCCTCTCTTATTCTCTTATTATTACTGCACTGCTTACAGTTCTTCACATAGACCAGGCTGTTTCTTGCCTCTAGGCCTTTGCCCAAGCAGTTCTCTCTGCCTGAAATGCTTTCCTCACATTTCTTCACTTGGCTAACTCCTTCTTGTCCTTTGAAATTCAGCTCAGCTTCCTCCAGGAAGCCTTCTTTGAATACCCTAGACTCAATTTGATGCCCTCATCTAAGCTTCCATAGTATGCTTTGTGTTCTTTCTTAATGGTGTACCATGTTGCATTTACTATCTACTAGTATTATTTAGTTTATTGTATCTCTTTCTTTGACTAGACTGCAAGCTCTTAGAATATAAAGACTGAGTCATATTTAGTTCTTCTCTATCTTATGGCACATGAAATATAGTTAACAAGAGTTTATTAAACATAACTGAAATTTCTAATGAGATTTAAATTTCTCAAGGACTGGGCATGTTTTATAATTTTACTAAGTATACCCTCCTGGATCATTCACATGTTTTTTGTTTTGCATGACTATGCTTGTCATACTCGTTCCTCATATATTATAAATCTTACTTAATGTTAGCTCCTGGAATGCCCTTTCCTCTAAAGTTGGTGTGTTCCTTTTGCCCACCAAAACCCAATATGCTGTAAGAAATCTATTGGATGCTGCCAAAAGGAATTAATCACTCCTTCTTCTGTGGCGTCTCTGCATTTTTACACACTTCTACTATTGCATTTAGAACACAGTATTATAATTAGCTCTTTACATGCTTGGTCCACAGTATAATTATAGTAGCATGATAAGGATTTCGATACAGGTGTAATGAGAGCATTGCAGAGGACCTGACCTGCCTGGAGAATGTCACTTTTGAGAAAATCAAAGCAGGGTGAAGGTTGCCTAGTTCAGCCTCTTCATGTTTTGATGAGGCAACTGAGGGCCTGAAAGTCTGAGTCAGTTTCCTCCTCTGTAAAATGTCTAGTTATCTGTGAACTGTGAGTCAGAAAATATGAATTATTTTACACATAATGAGAATCAAATTTTATGTAACCCCACCCTGTGACTCTCTAGTTTCTGAAGGACAAAGCATTTTGGTAGAGTTTCAGTGAAATGCAAGGAAAAATAGCTCCCAAAGTTATTTAAGTGCCTCTGGGAGATAAAAGAAACTTGGTTATTGAAAATACAGTAATTTATTTGCCTCCTATAGATGGTGTCTTTATTAAATATAAAGAGGGCAGGCAATTCAGCTCAGTACAATTCAAAAACCATGTATTGCCTGTGTTCTAAAGTGTGTGTGCTGGGATGAATGTGATGAGGCTCATTGATCCCCAAAGACTCAGAGGCTCAGAGAGCCTCTGTCATAAACCTAAGGTGGGATTCTGCTGGAGATTTTCCCAAGTGTGAAAACATTCTCCCATTTTATGCCCCATTGATGGCAAGCAGTTGAGCTGTCATCTTCCCCAAGAGCATATTCAAATGAGAAAATTCTTGGCCAAGAAACAACAAACAAGTAAATAAACTCTGCTGGGAGCTCAATAATACTTGAAACTAATGAAGTTCCCAAGGTAAGGCTGACAAGACACAGTTGTGTTTGCTCCTTTCCAGGATGCCATGCCCAGAGAAATTATTGGTGCATTGGAATAGACCTTGGACTTGGAGCCAGAGATGTAGTTCAAGAATCAGCTCTGCCATTCATTGGTTTGGTGACTTTAGGAAAGTCGTTCAACTCCCAGAGTTTTGGTTTCTCCATCTGTAAAGTGGGTATACTGGTTCTAGCTCACAGGGTTCTTGTGAAGATCAAAAGAAGTCATGGATGTGAAAGTTGAATAAACTTCAAGCTTAATATGGTAATCACGATAAACAGTGTATCTAGGAGATGAGAAGGAAGGGGAGTAACACTGTTAAATCCAAATGCTGTGTCTGATTTCTGTGTCGATGAGGAAGATAGTTTTGCTTTCCTACTGCTTTGTGAAACTAAAAGATCTATATTAATGTATATTTGAACACAAACTTTAGAGGACTATGTAAGAATGATATAGGAATATACATGCTTATATATAGCAATGTAGAAGCAGAAAATAAGAACTTTTAAAAAATAAGTTTAAGTAAAATATAGGGAAATAGCCACCTATATGCTAAGTAATGTGTTGTCACTCAATTTTTATTATTTTGAGAACACCTTTTCATGTACATGCTCTAGTGCAATTGAAGGATCATGGGGACCTTGATGTCTGAGACTATATTGCAGTTTAACTGAAATTGTCTTATTAACATGGAAGTACACATCAGAAAACCAAGGAAAACTATATTTTAATAGGTATTTTAATTTTTTGCATAAAAGTCTATCAGTAGAATATACTCTTTAAAAATAATAAGTGTCAAGAATTTGATTCTATTCCAAGTTAGAAGTGGTAATATAAAGTTAAAAACTAACACTAGCTACGATTCTGTTTAGTAATGAGAAAAGAACTTTAGGCTGGCTTTTAAAGATTAATTTGTTAATTAGGTGAACATCTGGGTTTTGGTTCATCACTTCCCTTGGAAACCTTGATTAATTTATGAAACTTTCATCCTCATTTACTAAAAAAGCATTGAGTCATCCGGTGTTACACACCAATGACAGCAAAAGTTAATTGGATTCTAGATCCTTTCACATTTCTGCTTTCAGCAATTCCTTGCCACTTTGAGTGGAACCATGCGCTAAGGGAGTCCATGTATTTTTGTGTGTGCGAGAGAGATAGAGAAATGAGAGGAATTACAAGTAATTGAAAAATGAGTTTGAGAAAATAAGAATATATATTTGTATTTTCTTTGGTTTATGGTGAGAAACTCTGGAGGTATACACAAAATAGCCAAACCAAACCCCAAAACTAACAAACACAGTTACCTCAGTGCGTGTTTTTTTAAAATAGAGTTTTGATTTGTGAACCATGTGAGTGTATTATTATCTTTTCAGAAAGGGCTGTTGAAGATTGTCTGTGGATTAAAGTGTTTCAGAGTTGGGTTTAGGAAGGGGAAGACAGAGATGTAGCTGCAGTTCATTGTAGTTAGTGTCTGGCCTCCAAATAAGAGATGCATTAGCAAAGAGAACACCCCCAAGGAAGGAGGGGGGCACAAGACTGAGAAAGAAAGGGAGAGGTGGATGGAGCTGGGGTGGATGGCTTACTTACTGACTTACTTTCTTCTGGCCCTGCAATTGGATTGCAACCTTTTTTTTGGCGCTGCTACTTACAAATTGCATTCAGCTTAGAAACCACTCTTAGGTATATACCTGTATATGGCATATGATCTTGGCCGTGTGAAACAATACTCACAGATGAAGGGGACTTCATCACACTGGTTCTTAATTTCTTTCTGCTTTTGCTTTGCCTCTCATTGTTCTTTCATCCTGTTTTCCTTATCAACTTTACTTTTTGGGCATATTTTATCTTGTGATATTATGCATTTATATGAGCTACCATGAATCTTTTCTGGAATTGGAAGGAGTATGAATAAATATGTACATAACTAATCTGGGGAAATGCTAACAGAGGAGTAAGATTACAAGTGATTTTAATTGTTTTATGGTGAGTCTTCTGCATTTCCAAGTACACATATATTTTTACAAGGGGCATGAATTTCTTTTCTAATCAGATACAGTAGTTTTTTTGCTAAATGTAGAAGAAAATACTTGTGGTAGAACTGATGGACTTTTCCAACAGAACAATATATAAGGGTAGTAGAGAGAGAGGACCAGAAAGGAGTCATGGGACTAAAGTCTTAATTTTCTTTTCACCATGTGCTTCTGTGAAAATGCAGGAAGGGCAATGTACCTACATTGGCTTGCTTGAAACTTTTAGAAAAGAAATTCTATTTTTAAGATTTCTTTTCTTCTATTTAAAATAATAGGCCATGAGAGAGCAAGATCTTTATTTTTATAATTCCCTATAATCTAGACTTGATTGCACATTGGGAAATAAGGATTAAAAAACCAACGTCTACAATCTGATTTTTATGTAATATTTTTACTCTACAAGACAAAGAATTAAGACCACATAAAAGCAAAAACAGAATAATTTATTTGAATCCATCTTTCCTTGAAAAAAATAAAAATAAGACTTTAATAGTCATTTCCTTAAGTGTTCACAAGTCTTCTCAAAAATACTACTGGTGATTGAAAAAAAAGAGAAGGCATAGTTTTGTTTTTGTGACAACCATCCTTATTACTTTGTTGTACAAATAACAAGATAGAAATTTGGAAATAAAATTGAAACATAAATTTAGCATTCTTAACACTAATAAAAATTTAATAAAACAAAGTCTGCTGAAAAATCGAACAATGTAAAGTTTCCACATTTGTAGGTGAGACAGGATAGTCTCAGTGTTGATGATAGTGAAAGTGTAGAGTAGAACTAATTGAGGTTTGTAGAGATATTTCATACAAAACTTATGAGGAAACCCCTGTCACTTTCGTTCTCCCCGTCAGCATGAGAACGACTCTCCACTGAGGAATATTTCCCCAACATGTTTTTCTGTTGCACAAGACATTGTGTATATGCTGAAAAACCTGCAGTTCAATTTGCATAAATGCCTCTATTCTGCATGTAAAGGAATAATGAGTAAGAGGTGTTGGTCTTGGTTTCTTCACTGATTCCAGATTAATATACTTTTCCACTGTTTTTCCTTAAAATGTTTCTTCAGAATTTCACTCGAATGTACTGTTTAGCCCATGAAAGTTCACCTAGTGAAGAGATATACAAAATATGTAAACAGTTCTATAGATTTTTCAGGTCTGCAGGTAAAAGAACTTTAAATTCTTTTATTGCTTTCCAGGGCTACAGATTAGAAGAATGTTTGGAGCTAGCTCAAGAAAATTACATTTATCAACAAATAAATATAAGAGTCAGCAATTATTAAATTTTGTAGATAATTTACTTTCGAAACTAAAGGTTTACTTAACTTGAAAGTCCTGTTTTCAATATACTAACGTCAGTCTTGGGTTCAATATAAACCCTACCAAGAGCATTTAATGAGGTCAATAGACAACATTGAAATACATCCAGCCATAAGTTCACTAAATAAATAATTGGGCTGAGTACTAGAATATGAACACAAACCAATTTACCAGTTTGTTAAACAGCAGTCCAATTAGGTAATAGACACATGAAGTAAAGAAAATAACACTGTTATTTTACAACAGTCTAAGAGCCAAAGAATAAAATTGTTTGGCTGTCTTTCCTACTCAGAAGTGACTGCCAAATAAAAGAAAGCAGAGAAGTTAGGATTCTTTCCCCAGAGCTGGCACATTCAAGTTGGGAATAGATGGGAGAGAGTCACCAACCACCTATAATAATGCATTACTCATGAAGTTGATCTTTGAATTTAATTGGACCTAGAGGAGAATAAAACCACAGATAATCAGGAAAGAAAAATGCTCTCTGCATCTATAGGTGGCATTTATTCTACTGAGAAATATTTATTTTACTAAGAATCACTAATCTTTAGTTAAAATAAGTAAACAGCAGCCCACTATACTAGGAAATCTTTAAAAGATCGAGTCTTATTTAACGTCTTGCTCTAGCGCATAGTAAATGTCCTGGAAATGTTTGTGAAGTGATTATAAGTAAAATAAGTGCAAAATAGTTTCTGATAAAGAAAAAGGAAGCATTTCACTTATTTATTAAAAAAATTTAGAATTAGTAACATAAATCTGAATTCAAATAAAATAACACTTTAGAAAATATTGGCTCCCCGTTTAGATAATGCTGGAAGACAGACAGAGGAGGAAAATTTTAAGAAGGATATTACGGATAAGGGAGACAGTTATGGAGAAGGAGAGGAAAAGAGAAGGGTAGACTCAGAAAATGAGGGATTCAAAGGATGAAGGTAAAAGAAGAGAGAGCCACTGGAAGACAAAGATCTACATAGATGAACTGACAAACACAAAAAAGATTGAGAAGACAGAAGAAGAAGGTGAGAAGAGAGAGGCTGTGGGAGGTGGAGATGTCACTCAGTTTGGGCTGGTAGCATGAGCTGGGGTTTTGAAGATGACTGCCTTTTGGAGGACCATGTCCCAATAGCGGTTTTGAATACTTTTTAAATAGCAGTTTTGAATGCCTGAAAAAGAACATTTCTGCTTTGTTTTCAATTCTCAAATCTTATTTATGAAATAAACTTTTATATTCTTAAGAAAGTCAAAAGATGTTGCTAGTGTCTAAAAGTCATCTAGTTTCAAAGGGTGTTTTTTTTTTAAGAATCAGTTTTTTGACACGCAAAACAACCCAATCAGTTTATTTTGTGTTCTTAAATTGTAGCTGCCATATTCACAATTTTGACTTAAAATTTATTTCGTTCTTAATAACCTTAAAAGATAAACCCCAAGTTGTCATTTGGTTTGTTTACATTCTAATGTGAAAAATTGATAGTTAGAAGAAAGGATACATAGAAAAACAAATGAACTTAAATAGGATAGAAATTTTAATTAGATTAAATCTTAGAAAGGAGACATAATCTCAAAATTCTTTCAATGCCTTATATTTAACAGCAAACAAACTTCCCCTAGTTTTCTATTATAGACAGTAAAGAGAATTAGGTATCATTTTAGAGTTTTTATTCTTAAAATATCATGTAATAATATCCTACTCTTGTGTTCTACTAGATTGATAATGCAATGCTTTACAACATTTTTTTTTCAAACTAGAAGTTCCTAACTCCAACAGTCTGTTCCTTATTTATGTGACTCTAGGTAAATTTTCTCTGATGAGGTTCTCTGAAGTATCTTGCCACTTATTTAGTCCTTAAATGACGCACAGTCCCCCCAGCACTAGGTTTCCTCACCATAAGATGATTTTTCCTGGATTTGTTCATTCCTAGCTGTTATTTTTGGTATTTACCCAGAAGTGTGCATGAATTACTTTGCTGAAACTGTTTATTTTGCCAGAGGGCAAGTTTCTGTATGTGGTTATTGATGTTCTTTTCAAAGTCAATAAGTGACAAAGAAATGATGGAAGATGATCTGTGGCAGTTATGACTGCAGGCAGCTATAGCCCACAAAAAAGAGAAGTTCATTTTATTATTTCAAAAGATTGTAGGCTTTATTTCTCCACGGCATGGAGGAAAGGGAGACTTCTTAGTGACAGCCTTGAGCTTAACTGGATAAATAGGTTCCCAGCTTTGTCCTCAGTACAGGTTTTGTCCTCTATGGGTGAGAGGCCAGTCCTCAATGGGGTTCCACTCAATTGGGAATAGGCTACTTTGAATAAGAGGATTGGCATTGGTGCTGACTGTGCTGTGGACCCTCTGTAGGCTTTTATTTTACTGGTCCTATTTTTAGTGACAAATCATCCATAAAACTTCCATAGCCACTGGAAAATCACTAAGTAATCATTAAGATGGCTACAGAATTAGCCTGAACATTCCTTTCATACCCAGATGTGGATTCCTTGGGGAAATATTGTGAGAAACTAATGTACACAAGAGAAAGTTGATTCTAGAGTTTTGTATCTAGTCCACTGGCCCAAGTGCATGGCCCTCGAAGATATTTGTGTGTTTGCCTGTTTTGTTTCTCAAAATTATGCTCAGGTGGGGAAGTGTGTTCAAATGTACAGAAGCTATAATTTCTTGTTTTGGTATTTTTCTTCTGTGCCTTTTAATCAGTTCTGGGGAAAGCAAAAGCTAAATGCTTAGCCTCTCCATAGCACCATCAAATGCAGATTCGTACTTACTCTGGATGGTCTTGCTGCTGGGCAGGGATGTGCTGAATAACTTCATACACTGTACTGTGCAAATCTTGCCCCGATACACAATCAGAGGCTGGAACAGACCTGCTTGGGATCTAGAAAATGTGATACATTAAAAATAAATTATCTCAAGACTAGTAAATAGTTTTTCCACTATGTTGCATAGTTGAAAACAACTGGCAGTAGTGATGATTAGAGAATTAGAACTATTTATCTTCCCTAGAAAGTTGACTTCCTCCTTGCTACACTTTTCTGCACTTACCCTATGGCAGTTTGTGCAGCAGCATAGCTATAAGGTCAGAAGAAGGATAGCTTGACAAAGCTATGGATTTTTTCTTCATTTAAGAAGAAAGCTGGCAGTACTGTAAAGGAAATATTATAGAAAGAAAAAATAGCAAAAGAGAAGATATCAGGATATCTTAGAATCAGATAGCATATATCATTATCTTTTCTATACCTCAGTTACCCTTTTGACACTATTTGCCAATTATGTGCGCAAGGGTGGCTTAAAAGAAAAGAACAATATACAGCCCAAATCCCTCATCATATTGCAAATAAGTAAAGACAGTACCAAGGAATGTGGAACACTCAAAGGAAAATGTTTTGGTTTAAATGTAGTAATGGACTGTAAAAACTAAATGCTTAGGTGAATGTGGAAAGGATAGTGTATTTATGGCTGGTAAAAACCAACAGGTATTTTTATTGAAAGTGGTATTTGTGTTTTATTAATTCCCATTCCTTATATTTCATAACTTCCTTCTTCCTATAAACACTCCCTCCCAATTATTTAGCCGAAGTCTAGTTTTCCTCCCCATCCCAAATGCTTCCTATTTTAATCCTACTTCTGTCCACTTTCAGTCCTTCATATTTATACACCTTCACCTCGAGGGCTCTTTGCTCTTGATAACTCTGAAGAGTTCACTATCTCATGTTAATTTGACCTGCTAGGTTTTAGTGGAACATCTTAGCTTTTTGTTTTTCTAGAAACCACTAATTTCCATTCCACTTGCTATAGCTCTCACATGAAGCCTTAGTATATGTGATTTCTTCTGTCATTTTTGTGTCAAGGAAATTTTGGTTTACGATCTATCCTTGAGATCAGCTCTTGATATTTGTTGTATGAAGGTATTCAGGAGCTACGGTAAAAGCAATCTATTGATGATCACTAACTTACCTAACCTAATATTAGAGCTGTTAAATAATAAACTTGCTCACTTAATGCAATTGTTTTCTGTCTAACTCCTGAAAGAGGTGCTAAATGGACAATGAAATGTGCAATTGGTAGAGACAGAAGTAATCCATTTGTGTACATACCACACAATATGCCAAGAGATTATTTTGATTATCTTTTTTTGAGTCAGGGTCTCGCTATGTTACTCAGGTTGGTCTTGAACTCCTGGGTTCAAGTGATCCTCCTAACTCAGCTTCCTGAACAGCTGGGACTACAGGTGCACACCGTGGCACCTAGCTTATTTTGATTTTTAAAAACTCAGAAAGTTAATAATTTAATTTATTTCCCTTCTCAAGTTCAGTTTTGAGATCTTGGTTTTATTATCACCTTTCCTTCTTTTCTAAAGGCCATTGCATTTGGCTGCTAATCTTCCATTACATAGCTACGTATACATAGCTGCCATTCTGGCTTCTCATGCAGATCCTCCTCCTCATGTCCCTGTCCTCATCCTCCTCCTTTGGTTGTTGGTCTTGATTTCTCACTTCTTCCCCAAAGCACCTGCAATGGCCAATTAAGAACCTCAGCAGATTCCTCAGGAGCTTGCAGCTTTGAAGATGGACATGGCTCCAAATCAAGTTATTCTGTTTCTGATAGAAATAAGCAGGGCTTCTACTATGTAATTAAAGCCCCTATTTCTCTGCTTAAGTTCTTCAGGGCTATAATATTTTGAGCCAATTGAGGTCCTCCCAGTAAAACTCCAAAATTGAGTAGTGATTAATCACATGGTAAGATTTAAAATTTCTTACATAAATCTCACTCCTTTCCAGTGAATTCCTAGGAATAAATGTTTGCATTATTTTAAATAAAAAAACTGAAACTCCTTATTCAAAAATTCAATTATAAGTCTTAGCTCTTCAGTTTCCTGCTCTCCAATTTGAAGCCACACCTCAGAGTGGTGCTTTCTACCATCGTGAGAAGCTGTTTGAAATAACTGATCCATCAAATATTTGTTTTTGTCTTTTGGTTGTGGAAGTGAAGGTGAGCCAATCCTGCCTGAGATTGAATAGGGTATTGCAAAGCCTTTGCACAGTAGTTCTTTGCTTCATCTGTGACTGTTACTGACTCACCCTTAGGGAGGATGAAATCCAATCAGTCCCTCTCCATTACTCACATGACATTTCTCAAATAAACTCTGTGGCGAGGAAGCTTACTAGATGAACCTTATACACTGATAGAATCCTCTGAACAAGAGAAGTCACGATTCCCTAATGGCAAATAGTCTTTTTAACAAATGGAAATGAGAATGCCTGGAAGCAAGTAATCTGTTTTTATGGTGCCCTTCCTCAAATGGACTCTCATAGCAGAATAAGGAAGCAGAGGAAAACTTGGTTCTATACAAATCTATAAAAATGTTAATAATCTGATTTGCTCACAGAAACATTCTGCATGTCTGTTAAGAAAAACTGATTACTTTAAAAGATCTTTTTTTTTTTTTTTTTTCCGGACTGAAATGACTTCAACTATATGAAAGCTCCTTTGCCATCTCATGCACCTTTAGGGCAATAATAAAGATGTATACTTGCATACTTTGGGCCTATATGGTAACTTCCTTCTGAAGCATGAGGTATCTTCAAGGGTGTGATCAATTGTCTTTGCAATGTTGTCAAAAGATATGAGGGGGCAATAAAGGGAAAACTGAGGAACAGAGAGAGTTTAGTAAAGTGATGGGTTGCAGTCACCCAAGTGATGCAGAATGACTTAAATTAGGGTCTCCTGATCCGCTGTTTATTCAGTATTTATTTATTTGAGACAGGGTCTTACTCTGCTGCCCAGGCTGGAGTGCGGTAGTGTGATCACGGCTCACTGTAGCCTTGAACTCCTGGGCTCAATGATCCTCCTGCCTCGGTCTCCCAAGAAGCTGGGACCAGAGGCATGCATAACCATGCTTGGCTAATTTTTAAATATTTGTTGGGATGGGGTCTTTGCCCAGGCTGATCTCAAACTCCTGGGCTCAAGTGATCTTTCCATCTCAGCCTCCCAAAGCCCTAGGAATACAGATGTGAGCCACCACGCCCAGCTTGTTTATTCAGTTCTCTTGACTTTCAACCTAGTTAGTTCTCTCTTCACTGAGATTACCAGGTAAAGACTATTTATGAATTAGCATAACTTCCTTATTTGTGTTAGCTTTACTTATAAAGGCGAAGTAAGATGCTTTAGCTTCCCAAATCTGGCAATGCCATTCATTACGGAGTAAGTCAACACTGCTTAATGCAGTAATGGGTAATGCAGCCATTTGACCACACTGCCCAGTGCTTAAACAAATGCTTTTTACACCTCTGGTGAAGCAGAATTCTACTTCTCGGTTAATCAGCCACTAGGAAAACCAACCCTGGAAACACCAGAAACATCTGGAAAAGCAACAAATTCATATATTCCGAAGTCATCCAGAGCATCTTCATGGCCTGAAATGTAAAACAAATACTGCTTACAAACCGAATGCCTTGATTTGCTGTTGTTTTTTAAACCTTTGTAAAACTTATCTTTATTGTCTGTTTTAAATGGTATAGGTACAAAATGAATTTAACATTTCCTAATTCCTATAGTCGTATTGCCATTAAGCAGTGTTGGAAATCACTCTTTCTGAAGCTGAGAATCGAAACTGAATTGGAACAATTATTCTTAAAGCCAGACGTGAGAATAGCCTGTTACATCTTTAAATACACACAGGTGGGCAACCTTGGCCTTTGTAACTTGCAGTTACCAGAGACTCATGGTCACCAGGGTTTAAGCCTGAAGGTCACACCAGTTCTTGATCCACCCGTAATATCTACTGCACCCTGTTAGATCTAACAGATCTAACAGATGTAACAGATCATCAGAACAAAAAGAGTAAATAGCTAACTGAAGCTTCCCATACATAAAAAGTAAAATACATTACACTATCAATCCACATAAACTATCATCTATAGAATGATGGCGGGGGAGGTGGTTAGGAGGAACCAGATAGCCTCTGGGGCCCTTGCCAGCTCTGACATTCTGTCACTTATAAGTCAGGAAGGGCTAGAAAAGAGGAAGAAGGCCCACATTTATTACACATCCAGGCATCATATCAGGCACTCCACCTATATCATTTTATTTAATTCTCATAGCAACCTTAAGGGGGAAGTTTTTATCCCTATTATATAGAAGAGGAAGTTGCGGTTAAGAAAAATAATTTTCCTAAGGTGACATGAGGGGAAATAAAACTGAAACTTGGCTCCCTGTGATTTTGTGGCCTGAGCCAAAACTTTGTTAACTTATAATAAGTCAGTACAGTCAATATTGATGATAATGAGGGTTACAGTGGGGACAAAGAAGCAATCCTGGCCCCTGCCAAATCTTCTTTTCCTCTTCTCTTTGGGATGGAGCTGCCAGCATGAAACCTACCTTAGGAATGAACAAAGTGATAGAACCCTTTGGCATTTTCAAAATAATAATAGGATCAATGAGTTAGCAGAACTAATTTCTTTGATCCTACTGACTGTGGACAAGTGACTTAATCTCCTTGATTATTAGTTCTCTTGACTGTAAAATGGAGTTAAGAGTGCTTCCAGGCCTGATATTACAGACTTGTGTGACTTATATAAAACCAATACAGAAGACAGCACTTTGTAAAGTGAAGGCACTAACTCAAAGGTAAGAGACTGTTATATTAATTTTAGCTCATATTAATTATATTACATTAATAATATATAATAATATTAACACAACTAATTAACATACATTAAAACTGATAATAGCCCTTTTCAGCTTGGCCATTACCTGAAAATGTTTGAGCTTTCCTGTATTCTGTTTCTGGCCTGAAAAGACAAAATAGGTATTTTTGTCAGGGATAATAATTGAGGAATAAGCATCTAAGGAAAACAACTATTTTCATAGAAACAGATGCATTACCTGCCTTCTAGTTTCTGTTTTATAACTAAAATCAAGAGAGAAGAAAAATGGTAAGGTTTTTTTTAGTACACATATATACAGCTTCAATTTTTTTTTTGTAATTTTAACCTACCTTTGTAGGGTTGATATTTTTTCCATAGGAAGAGAAGACACATGGATATAATCAAAAATAGTGATATTCCAGTTATACTTGCTAAAGGTGACAATGATTTTCCTTTCTGTGCAAGCTTCTCCAGTCCTAAATAAAAAGATAAACATATTTTTAGCAATAAATTGCTACAGTATATAACTTGACTTTTTAAATGCCGTATTTTAAATGAGACGCTATTGAAAAAAATATATAAACACGTATATTAGAGACACACAGAGAGAGAGAGAGACCAAATGGAAGGAATGCACTTATTTTAGAACACACACTAAACTCCCTAGGGATACCTGTGATTGGAAACGTGGTGCACTGCCCAAGTTAAAACTGACTGTGTTGTACTAGGTGTAGCCAATATCTCATGTCGTACTTCTCAGTGATGTTTGCCACCTTAGATCTGTTTCATCTCATTGTCTCTACATTCCTAAATGCTAAGTTGTTCTCTCATTTTCCTTCCATTTTGCTTTTTTAGCATAATTCAAGTATGTGAATTTTCTAGGGAGATGGTATGTGATTAAAGGTGCAAGAGGGGAGGTGTTCATTTCAAACACACTTTAGTAATTTTTGGCCAATAAAGAAATGTCTCTTACCATAAATGATGAAAAAAATTAAAAAGAAAAAAGAAATGTCAATTCTTAAAATAGGATGTATGTGTGATTTTTCAAAAAAATATTTAAAGTCCCACCTTTTGACTAGAATTCACTTTGTTTTATCAGTCATTCCCTTTATTAATATCACTATATAAAATACGGTGCTAATAACATCTGCTCTGTTCTAAGGGTGCATGATACATATTAACTCACTGAATCTTTACAACAATCCTACCAGGGAGAGATTATTTTATCATCCCTTCCAATAGATGAGGAAGCTGAGTCTTGCCCAAGGTCACTTGGGTTATAAGTGGTAGAATCCAGATGTTACCCCAGACTCTTAACACTTAATGATGCCTCCCTTTAATATAATTTTAACACAACTTATTAACTGTGGCTATGTTAACACCAGCTTCAGGTTATAATATGTTTAGTTATATAGTCAATCTATATAATAGGAAGTAGTTTTAACCTCCAACAAATGAAAGTAACAGATGTCTTCCATATTACCATGTGAATCAGATATGGGTGTGGAAATAAATCATGGCAGTTGCTTGTCTCTGTCCAGATTAATGTGTGAGTGAAAGTCATGTGATGCCATTTCCATTCAGCAATGGTGAACAGCCTGGAAAATCTGGGTGTGGTAAAGACCATGGTGGCTACACAGCTCTGCAATAAATATCCAGCCTGCACTGTGTCATCTTTCATCATAAAATCTCTGCTGAGATCTCCAACAGCCAAAATAAGGGAGGAAGCCTTAATCTTTTCTTTCTCTCAGTATGAACCTACATTAACTCTCTTGGCTTTTCCACTCAGAATACTTCCATTTCTTAATCTTACAGGAATCTTTTAATAAGGTAGTGTAGATCATATGTGCAAAAATCGAGTAAACACATCATGGAAATCGGTTATCTCTTCTAATTTCCCAATACAGCACCATTCACATATTTCCCTTAAGTCCTAAAGAGTTCGACAAGGTTGTTTTTCATTATCAAAAATCTTCACCATTTCTGATGGGGAGTTTATAAATTTCTGACATGCGTTCAGAGAACTGCATTCTTAAAATGTTATTCTATGGGATTATAATATCTGTGTCCTGCTTATTGCCTTTAAACAGATTTTAAATTAAACTCTTTCAAACCTTGGCTAGAAGAAATAAATGCAAGGCAGCTTCAAATGAACTAGAATGGCAATTTATTGATCCTAGATATAGACTAGAACATCATGAAGCTTTTTAGATTATTTTTGCCTCATAAAAAGTTGTAGAATAATTTATATTCTCCCACTGTTAGAAGGCTGACCTTTTAGTTTGGAACCACTTTGCACTTGGGTAGTCTCTTTGTGAGATCTTAGCCTTTTCTCAGATATTATTCTCTTGTGGGATTGTTCTCTCTAAAGAGCTGTGTAACTTTGGGTGAGCCCCTTGACTCTCAGGGTTTTGATTTTCACATTAGTATAATGAGGAGGCAAGAGTGAAAGAGTGACTGGCATTTAAGTTCTCTTCTTGCTCTGATACTCTATGACTTGGGGGAGCCAGAGAAGTTTACATGAAGTTATGTAAATAGGACCCTATATCTGTGGCATGCTAGTAACAAAGTCTTCAAAAAATTGCACATATATATGTTAACACACCTTATAAACACACACAATACACTTTTAAGTTTAATTTCCACTATTTTTTTCCCTCATTTCCTCAAGTGTAGGCAATGTAATTATAGAGCAACATTTTTCTGAGTTTTAAAACATAGTAATTTCATTATCATTAAGTCCAAAATGTTTTCTAATTTTCACTGCAATTTCTTATTTGACCTATGGGTTTAGAAGTCTGTTGCTTAATTTTCTTAAGTTTGGGAGTTTTCTAGTGGTGTTTCTATTATTGATTTTTGGTTTAATTTCATTCTTGTTAGAGGGCAATCCTTTGAAGTTTGTTGATTTTTTTTAATGACTATACAAATAGTCATATGAAAAGGGTGTATTCTGCTGTTGTTGTATGTAGTATTTATATTATTTCAACTAGGTGAGGCAGGTTTTCTCTATTCCTACTGAGTTTTTGTCTGTTTTATTAGTTACTGAAATAAATATGTTAAAATCTCCCACTTTGTGATTTTTTTCGGTCAATTTTTGCTATTTATTAGGTGCACTTCCTAATGCTTCTTGTCTTGAAGAATTTATCTAATTCATCTAATTTTTATGTACATTATCTTATACCAGTACGGTAAGTCCTCACTTAACATCAGCTGATTCTTGGAAACTGTGACTGAGCAAAACAACAAATAATGAAATCAATTTAACCATTGGCTAATTGATATAAACAAGAGCTAAGTCTCTACAACATATTTCTGGTCAGAAAAATATCAGAGTTCTACATAAAGATCCCAAACACTTCTAATATCAAACACTGAAATAAATTGAATGAATACATACATTGAATAAAGATTAATAAAACAAGTAAGATCGTTATTTACTCAATTTTTGGTGAATCTGTGAATGATGGCAGTGGTAGTGGTAATGGGTTAAATCAAGGAATAAATGTTTACAAAGTGAAAGTTGTAAAAAGCACCTCCTAGCATCATGCAGTTCAAAAACTAACATCACAAATCTGGTAGTCTTGCGGAGCACTTTCATATCACATCATTTATTGTCATGCATTTATATGATTATCCTAGTCTTTATAAATTTTTATTTGACAATCATTCGTATTCATTCATTCATTCTCCAACCTGCTTATTCTAGTTCAGGCTTGCAGGTGGCTAGAATCCTATCCTGGAAGCCCAGGACACAAGGCCGGAACTAGCCCTGGACAGGGTACCATCCCATTTCAGGGCACACTCACACACATACCCACACTAACTCAGACAGTGACTATGCAGATATGACAGTTCACTGAATGTGCACATCTTTGGGATGTGGGAGGAAGCTGGAATACCTGGAGAAAACCCATGTAGGTAGGGGGAGAAAGTGCAAACTGCACACACACAGTGGCCCCAGTGGGAATTGATATTTTTTCTCATCAATATTATAATGAAATGATGTTGAAATGAAATAACATTATTAGAAGACCTGCTATATAGCTATGCTAGCTTTCTTTTTTGTATGGTTTATCTGTTCATCTATTTAATTAAAACCTTTCAGTATCTTCATACATAAGGTGTGTATCCAGTTTGACATTTGTTTTTTACTTGGAATATTTAGCGCACTAAGACCTAGTATGATTAGTAATATATTTCAGTTTAGATCTGCAATCTTATTATTTTTTCTATATTTCCTACCTTTTTATTCCTTTGCTCTCTCCTTTCTTGTCCTAATTTAGATTAATCAGAATTTTATTTATCTTTTCTTCTCTATTTCCTTGTTAGTTATACATTTTTATTTGTCTTTTAGACTTTAGGGATTAAAAATTCTAATCAATAGTTATACCACTTACTGCTTCTATGATACAATAATTAGTTTCATATTACAGTTGGGAAATCTAAGACTCCAGGACTCAAATTTGAATTTAGCAATGTCTAACAACAATTCCATGCTCTTTCCACCACTCTTACCTAATCATTATAGAAGAAACAAAGTCCTTCTCCCAAATGAAGCCCAAATCTACTCAGTTCTACCAATTGAAGCAATGACAAATAAATCAAATCCTCTCTGTATATGATGTCATCTTAATTGTTTGGTGAAACTCACATCTCCCCCTGAGAATCCTCTTCTTCAGATTCAGCATCCCAAGATCATTTTGTTGTTCTTTACATAACTGGATTCCAGATTCTCTACCATCCTAGAGGTGCACTTTTGGAAGCCCAACAAAATTTAATTTCATTTCTAAGACATAAATTTAGAAGGACCCATACTTCACTGCGGTTGTCAATAAGATAAAGGCAAATAGAATGCTCTCTGAGACAGTGACAGTGATAAAAAAGCAAAAAAAAAAACCAAAAAAAAAAAAAAAAACCACAAAAACCAGAAAAACTGGTAAGAAATAAATAATAAAAAAGAAAGAATTGAAAAAAAATACCAAATAATAGAGTGGCAAGATTTAACATATATCGTATGATTTGGGCACCACTTTTAGCAAGTGAATTCTCTATTTCGTCATTTTAGATCTGACAATAAAATAAAAACTAGCTAAGGGAATTTTCAGATAATGCACAATTAAATATATATTAAATATTATATATACATAAAATCAAATGTACAATTTGTTTTCCATTTACAAAAGAAAATTCATACCATTTACAGTTACAGATAAAGAAAGAGTCTCAGAGAAACTAAAATATTTGCCATAGTCAGTAAGTCCTAGAATTGAGAGTAGACAGGTTTTTTTCTGACTGCAAGTTCAACTTTTTTTCTGTTAATCTGTGGTCAAAGATTGGTTTTTCCAATTAGTAGGTAGGCTCTTACATATCAGTTTTTCCTCTAACTTTTTCTGACATACGACTTCATGTGCTTCAAATCTTTCACTTCTTAATAGCCAGACTGCCATCACCAAAATTCTATAACCCCTGAAGACTCCTCAAAAAAGAATTCAATGCTAATTTATTCTATTCAAGTTTTTGCAATGTGCTTTACCATCAGCAAAACTGCTGAAAAACACTTGAGTAGTCTCGGCTGTTTTTTCCCTCTTAAACTTGAACATATGCTAATAATTACTATTTCCAAGCAGTTCCCGTTCTAATAGTGAAGCTTCACTCTGGCCGGCATCAGCTCTCTGCCAGACACTTCTGTGATTCTCCAGTCAGGCAGTAGGCTTAATATACAATGACTGGATGTCTTAGACTAGATAAGATACATATGTTCCCTTCTCCTTCATTTTTAACTTTTTGTCCCTTTTGATATGTATTTACTAAAATGACCTAATTTGCACACATTCTCTCCTACAGAGGATCCCACTGTTTCCTTCCTCCATTACTTCCTTATTTCTTTAGGCTCCTTCCTTATTGCCCTCTTGCCTCTTCCCTTGGCCTGTGTTTGCCCTACATCAGAGAGCTTTCCTGTAGTGACCAGTGCCTGTCAGCCCAAAACCACGGCTGTGGCAAAGGCCAAGAGTCTTCCCAATGGAGAATGAGGAATAGGGACAATCCTTTTCTCGGAAGAAATGATCTTTCCTGTTAGTCCTCTTCTCTAGAGCATTCTGGCTCTCTGCTCTCAACACTGCTCCTCTATCCCAGAACACACAAGATTTACTAGGTCCAGCATTTGAAATTTGTTCCTTTCACACACACAAAAAGTGCCAAATATGTAAAGGATCAAATCAAGGGGCACAGTTGTTGTGGTCTCAGCTGCAGGCAAGTGTTTTTGCAAAGATGAACTTCCAGAACCTGAACTTGAAAATAAGACAGCAGGAAATTCTGACCCTATTGCCATAGAGAATGTATAGGGATCACTTCTGCAGTTCTGGACACCTGCAGGAGCTTCCTTCTTTCTCCTTTCAGAGAGTTTATACTATTCTTTAGCACATAGCATGCCATTCTCCCCATTATTTAAACATGATGGACTCATGTGCCAAAGCCATAGTGCAAATGCTATTTGCCTCCTCCTTAGGCAAACAAATAAAATGGAATAACATGTTAAGTGCAAATATGGTCAAGAGGTGTGGTATCCATGGTATCGCAACCCTGCTGTTTGAGACTGCACTCAGTGGCAGGACAGCCATATGCTACCAGTCTGTGTATCCATTTCTACATCAAAATGAAGTCTTGAGATCTCTCTCATCCAATCTGTTCACTGATTATGGCAGCTGACTCATGTCCCTCCGGAGATGAAGGTGCCACGTTGAGGAGTGTGCCATTTCCACACTCCATCATAGGCCCACTGACAGACACAGTTGTTCAGTGCTGGATGCTCATGGAGACATCACCTTAGGTCTCAGGGTCTGAATGTCAGATTTGTAGTTCTATCTTAATTGTCATTTCCAAAGACCCAAAGTGAAATACATTTCCTAGACATCTTGACTTGAGAAATTTCCAGATAGAAAAAATTAGTAAATTCATTTTCCTGCCTTGAGTCTTTTTCCTGTTCTCTTCTTTAAGAAAAGTTGGGAAATATAAATAAATGTAAAAAATGGTAGCTTTCTCAGGATCACGTACAAATTGAAAACATTTCTATTATGGATAAATCTCAAACTATGCCCACATGGCCTTAGGGAATTCTATTTATACAATTGAATGCCTTCATTAAATGTGAACATTTGAATACTGATCAGATGATTACATTTCCATAAACATTCTCTATCTATCTATCTATCTATCTATCTATCTATCTATCTATCTATCTATCATCTCTCTGTCTGTCTGTCTATACATTGCATGTCACAATAGCAATTTTGGCTCAGTTAAAACTTTAAAGTAGGGACATCTGCATTCAAGGAAGTCCGTAATTAAGGTAATAAAATCTTGTTTTGCAAAACACAAAGCTAATTTATTATTTTAATAGCTATTCTTTTCTTGAAATGTTATCATAGACATTATTTTCAGTTACAAGTATTTCCTAACTTTGCATTAATATGAAATTATACACATTGTAGACAAACCAGAGTATCTCTACGTACATAGCATTAAATTAGATAGGTGATGAGAAAGTACACGTACATAGCATTAAATTGGATAGGTGATGAGAAAGTGACCCTATACCTACCTTTTAGAAAGACCATATGGTTTCACCAACATTCTCAGTTATATCAAAGGAGACAGTTTGTATAGTGGTTAAAAACAAGGGCTTTGGGTCAGGTGTGGTGGCTCACGCCTGTAATCCCTGCACTTTGGGAGGCCGAGGTGGGCAGATCAACTGAGATCAGGAGTTTGAGACAAGCCTGGCCAACATGGTGAAACCTCATCTCTACTAAAAATACAAAAATTAGCCAGGCATGGTGGCACGTGCCTTTAATCCCAGCTACTTGGGGGACTGAGGCAAGAGGATCACTTGAACCCAGGAGGCAGAGTTTGCAGTGAGCCGAGATTGTGCCACTGCACTTTGGCCTGAGCAACAAGAGTGAAACTTCATCTCAAAAAAAAAAAAAAAGGCTTTGAATTCAGATATTATTTATCACTTACTAGCTGTGTGAACTTGCCTGTTGTCTCTGTTTTCTTTAGGATATTTCCATGGAGATACAAAAAGGTCAATTAATATCTCAAATTAGATGTGAATCATAGTCCAAAGAGGGGAAAGTCACCATTTGCTGTAGTCTTAGAAAGAGAAAAACACAGAACTAATTGTTCTCTCCAGCCTTCCTCTCCCCACTGAAAATCCCCAATAAAACTTGATTATTTCCTGACCTTGTCATTTTCTTTCCATATCTGTGAACTTGGAGTCATCTCTGGCTCTGTTTTCCTTTGGCTTCCACGTTTTATTGCTAAAACTTTTTGGTCAGCCAAATGTTTTGCCTTATTAAGAAGTAAGAGGTTAATCTCTTACTTACAGCTTCACTGGCGACACCAAACACCAATTTGGTTCTGGAAACATCTCAAAAGCAGGTATTTTAACCTTTTAAATGATTTCAAATTCTCCACAGATCTCAAGAGTTTACTCCTCAGAGTGGATGGAGAGTAGGCTCAACTGATACTTGCAAGTGATGGTCATTTATAACTGTAGGTTGATGTATACTTAATCTGTCCTGCTGAGGTTCATTAACTTTGAAACTTAGAAAAAACAAATATTTAACAAAACACATCAATACTATTCATTTTCTTTGCCATCTTGTTGCTGTTTGAGTTAAAGCTCTGTGGACATTTGGGGGTTAGAAAATAGCTCTAAAAGCCACAAAGAGGTCACTAATATTGACAGCTCTGAATCCCTCTGAAAAATAAGCACCTGCTCTTCTTATTTACTATAATAACAAATGCTTGGTCTTTGTACAGGTCAAACAGGTTTTTTAGATTTTGCAAAAGGCAATTATCTGACGTTAAGACTGTAGCTGTCTTTAGACCTTGGTAATAAGATCTTAATCAAATATTGGGGGCTTCTGATATTATGAGAATATCTTAGCTAAATATTAATGCAGAAAGTTTAGGCAGTGGGAAAGCCTTACTGTAGTATACTTCTACCCATTACAGCCATGTTTTCACTTGCAGTGAGCATGAGAAACAAGCTGAAGATGATACCAGGATTGCTACTATTTTATGTGCTTAATTATGGCTTGCTGTACAATTATGTCTTGGTTTGCTACTGGGGTGAAAATCTGGTTAAGCCTATAAAAATTAATAAAATGGAAAGCAAAGGATGTACCTCAGCTGTTTATGTGTTTGCCACTCATGTTAGATTGTGAGCAGGAATTCTTATTAGGAGGAATTACCTTTCTCATATGTTATTCTTAGTGCGTACTCCAATATTTGGCCCATAGTGAGTGCTAAAAAATGAATGAATGGGTGCTTAATTTATAACACCCTAAAACACATATGCTTTTTGGGTCTACAAGAAATATATATTATTATCTACTGCCCAAATGAAGCAACTCAGGTAAAAATTCTAGAGCTGCATTGTCTGACATGGTAACCACTAAACATGTGGCTATTTACATTCAAATTAAAATTAATAAAGATGAAATAAAATTAAAAATTCAGTTTCTCAGTTGTGTTAAGCACATTGTGTTAAGTGCTCAATGTGTTAAGTGCTCAAAAGCCAAATGAGGTTAGTGGCTATCATAATGAACAGTGCATTTTCTTCATATGAAAAAACCCCCACCATGACAATATATACATCCCAAAATACCGAGGTGATTTTTCCTCCTGGTACCAAGGAGTACCTACGAGAAACCCATTCACTATACATTTATCAACCTGTAGGTTTGCGATAGTCTTATAATTCTTCATGGCTCTTTAGGAACTTTTTAGTAAATTCAAAACACTCTGGAGATAAAATATACTAAACAAGTGGTTGTCACACTTGTATGTGCTGAATATTCAGATTCTCCAGTGCTACCTGAAAGATCCTGATCCAATAGGTCTGAGGTGTCTTAATGAAGCTACATTTTTAGCGACCTCCCTAGGTGATCTTGATGCAGATGGCCCAAGGGCAACATACTGAAAAACTGAGCCTAAGGATTACAAGAAATTATATTGTTGCATCACTTATTCAACAAAACATATTGAGTTTCTCTGTATTATGGGTCTTTTTCTAGGTACCAGTGCTATAAAGGTGAAGAAAGAGAAGGCATCAATAGAAAAGATATTAATGAGTAGTAGCTTTTATAAACTTGTTCTTCCACCAGTCATAGGTACCTTAACCACCATGTCCTGTCCAAACCTGCTCCCAGATTTTGCCCAAGTGGCATTTGACTTGTGTGCAAAGGAGAGTCTGAGAAGGACTTAGCAGTAGTAGAAGTAGTCATAGAAGAGGAAGAAGAAAAAGGAAAAGGAGAAAGAGGAGTAGGGAGGGAAAGGGAAGGGGAGAGGGAGAAGGAGAAGAGAATACAAAGAAATAAGTAAAGAAAGGCAAAAGAAGGAGGAAGGAGAGAAGAAAATGTATCTGAGAAATAGGAAGGAAGGAAATGGACACAACTCGGTGACTGAATGTGGGACCAGGGAATAGGCAAGAGGAATGAGTCTGAGATGACATTTAGCTTTCTGTCTTAGGTTGGTAGTTAGTAGGGCCATTCACTTAAATAGGCAATACAGACAGAATAGCAATTTTGGGGGAAAGAAGATGGTTTAGTTTTGATATATCAGACCTGTATGGTGCTTCTGGCACTTCCAAGCAGAGACATCCAGAGGCAGCTGGGTGTACGGTTTTAGAGCTTTAAAGATATAGATTTGGGATGTACCAGTGTTACATGAAGACATGGAAATGAATGAAATCATACAGAAAATCATACAGGAGAATAAAACCATTCTGTAGAGAGAGAAGAGAAGGTGTAGAAGGATGAGAATTTGGTGGACATCAATATTTTAGGCCGTAATTCTTAATCTTTGCGGGTTGATGACATTTCTGAAAATCAGATGATTTCTAGAGAAAGCCAAATTTCACAGACTTACAGAATTTTGTAATTTCCAAGGTGTTGAGACTCCCCTTGTGAACTTCCATAGATTTCAGCTGTTTAAATGGTGGAAGAGGAAGGGGAGCCCATGAAAGACAGTGAGAAGGGGAATCAAATAGAAGTAGGAAAACCAGATTCCCAACTCATGGAGACTTATTCATCTGACCTAATGCAGTGGTAGATATAAACCCTCTAAATGAACAGCCTGTTTCTCTTATATTTTTGTTCATAAAACTAGGAAAGTAAGAGTGCACATTTAGAAGTAATTTGTGGAATTCCCTTTTTCTTCATAGCCCTTCACAATTGAATTGAATTTCTCCCCTATTTCATTTTGAATTTTTTTTCTTTGAGTCATAGAAACCATGGCTTAGTTAACTTTGGAAAGAGAGATTTTTAGAATATATGAATAATCCCACAATGATTTTCTTTTCTACCTAGGTATAAGATAGGGGAAGTGCAAGGCCAGCATGCATTCATGTTTTATTAGGATCCCTTCCTTGTATGTCACACATACCTACGGAAGTGATGATAACTGTGAAATGAGTTTCATCTTGCCTGCCGGTTATGTTGTTGTAAGCACAGCACACATAGTCCATTGTCTTCTGGGCTACTTTCTCAGATGCAACTTCTAAGCGAGGCCCATGCTTAATGATATATGTAGTATTGTCAGTCCTCCTAATCCAGGAGTAGGTGTTGGGGGGATGAGAATCAGCAGAACAATCAAATAGGATGGCCTCTCCAAGGTCAACAGTAAACACTTCCCCTACTTTTAGCCCTTTATCAGAATTCACTTGAAGTCCATAAGGTCCATCTGCATCAATATAAAAAAAAATAGATAAGTAACACAAGTAATCACAACATAGGTTTTGAGTTTGGGAGAGCTTAGTAGCATTTTACTGTTTTTGAAAATTTTCATCTTAGAATTGGACGAGCAGGTCCTTGCTTAGACTCCCAATAAATGATGAGGACCTAAATATGTTTTATTCTGATATCGATGAAAGTGAAAATTATTTGAGATTTGATTTGAAATAGTGATTTGAACTAATCTGAAATAGTAAAAGCCTGAAACTTCATATACAATTTTACAAATACTGTCATCATAATTGTGATGCTAAGGTTTTGAGTAATGTATTGATAAATCTGCCATCTTGTAGACAAATTCAATCTTGCTGTTTTTGTGTGACTAGCTTATTTTTATATGCTGATTTATTTTATTATTATTTTTAATTGAGACATGATAATCGTACGTATTTATGAGGTACAGTGTGATGTTTTGATCACATGTTTTGATACATGTATACAGTGTGTAATGATTAAATCAGTCTAATTAGTATCTCCATCACCTCAAACATTTATTATTTCCTTTTGTTGGGTACATTCAAAGTCTACCATTGTTGCTGTTTGAAAATACACCATAAATTGCCGTTAATTATAGTCACCCTCTAGTGCTATAGAACACAAGAACTTATTCCTCATATCTAGCTGTCCATTAACTATTTTTGTGTCTATTAACCAACTTTTGGCTACCCCCCACCACCCCACTCTTCCCCATCTCTAGTAACTACTATTCTACTCTCTATGTCTATTAGATCAACTTTTTAGCTTCTACACATTAATATTTCTGAAATAGTCATTGTACTTGAAAATATTTTTACAAGAGATTATGGCCACTATTTTCTCTTTAACAACCATACTTTCAGTATTATCTATTTTTCTTCTCAGTGCTAGGGTAGGCCATGTAAATATTTATAAAAGACATTGTTTCACATGGGACACTGTGCAAATAGACATAGGGGTGTTTGGTATTTTTACAACATTTTAACAGTTAAAGAATTTTTAAAATCCTCCCACCCACACCCCAGCTAAGATTAGGATTCCATTTGAAAAAAAAAGTTACATCTTCTTTATCATTAACTACTTAGCCCCTGGTGTTTTTTTCCACATTGCAGTACTCCTGTAGCATTGTACCATTTCTATGGTGTTAGGTTGCCAGTAGGTGAAGACACTTTTCCCATTGCTTTCTTCAGAGAATAAGGAAAATTTTAAAAAATTCTTCTCCTAGATAGGTTTTCTCATTCAGTCTAAATCCTGGCTTATAGTCTAAAAATCTTTGAGTTTTAGTGCTTATGTTCACCTTTCAGCTGATCATTACCAATATTTATTGGATATCTGCCATGAGAAGGCACTTTAAGTGCTTATGCAGATAACAACATTTAATATTTAGAGCAACCACCATGAGGTAGATGTTATTATTCTAATTTTAAGATGAGGAAAGAGATATTTAAACAATTTATTTGCCCATGGTCATATAGCTATTAAATAGCAGAGCTGGGTTTCTAAAATATATGCACTTAATCGTTCACATTACTTCTCTAAAAAGAAATAAAGTATAAGTGGTATAACTTTCTATATCATAATAGTTTGTTGTTGTCTAACTGTAGTACTAGTTCTACAATCAATTACTAATTATATATTAATATTAATTCTGTAATCATCCAATCAAGTAATAAATATTTATTTGAGAGATGATGCTAAGTATGAGATAATATATTTAGTATACGGGAGATAGAGGTATGAGACATTCATATTCTTAGGGAATTTACAAACTGGATATGGGTATGGATGGTTTGCTCAGTAATGGCCTAATCTTAAAGGTCCTGATTTTTTTAAAAGTATAAGCTATTTATCTCTCAACATATAGAAAAATAGAATGTAGTAACTAAACATTAGGGTAACTAATTTTTTCAATCACTAGCTAGGCATTCTTTAGAAGTCATTTGAATTTTTTGGGTCTCATTTTCCTCACCTTTTAATATAAAAAGACAGGTTAGAGGACTGATTGCCAAGATTCTTTCTAACCCCTTTGAAACACCAGGATTCTTGCCATGCCATTAAAAGTAAAGGCAAAAACAGTGATTACTTTTGCACCAACCTAGTAAAACCATTTTGGATATTGGCAAACCAATCCCAAGTTTGCAGATTCCCAGAGTGGTTCTCTATCATGTCAGCATTTTCTGACCAATCTGCCACAGAGGAGACAAATTTTCTAAGCTATAACAGAAAACGAATATACAAAACAATAGATTATCTTCAGCTAGAAAACAGACTAATCTATGTTTTCTTTCTAGAGAAAAAGACATATGGAGAAATGTGAAGGAACCATATGGGTTTTTATTAATAAACCTGCATGAGATAAGCCTGCTTTCAGAAAGCAAACAGAAGTTAGTACTTTCAATTTAAAGTAATCAGGAACTGAAGGTACAGGATTAAAATAAGGAGAAATTTCTGCCCCTTTCCTGTTACTGTATAAGAAGCCTGTTCTCTCATTTCAGGCTGTGACACAGTCTCAGGTGAAACCACTGTGATAAAAGGTTTAGAACAGTGTGCTGTCAAATGGAACTCTTTTGTTCTGAATTCCACTAAACAGTAAGTAGTGTAATGGGAACAAAAATTTGTTTTTGCTCACTCAACCGAAATCAATATTGAGATTACTTTGCACATGGTATGAGTCTAGGCATAGTGAAGACATCTGAGACGTTGACCACATACTATGTATGGCTATTATCTCAGGCCCTGTGGTTCAGAAGGGACCCTTCATGTTGTCAGCATTGATAGAACATTAGGGAAGGAAAGATCACCAAGCAGCGGGCAGTTATGGTGCACACCGAAGGAAACCAGCAGGAGGAATTTACCGTAGTTTGGGAGAGCAAGAGACCTGAGTCTATGTACAAAATCTAAAGTCTGAGGGTCTTTCTGAGAGTAGAGCAAGGCAGACTTGATAAAGAAGAAAAATGTGGTCACGAAAATACAGCCACTCAATTTAGGTCTTCGTCTTCCCCCTGGTTTTCAGGGTATAGAGAATGGGGCTATAAAAACAAACTGTCTAGTAATTTAATACACATAAAAATGAGTGTTACTCCTTTTCAAGCATGCTGACATTGCTCAAAACTTTTTGGGGAACTCCTCATTTGGAGTTGCCTTAGGACCCTGCAGCATAATGGAGTATTCTCACAAGCAGTAATTCTTCAATTTCAATTTCAGAGGGTAGGTTTAATTTGTAGAGGAAGCCCATAGTCATTTAGAGCCAAGGCTAGTAAATAAGGTCAATTACCTAATTTAATAAGTTCATTCTGGTTTAAAATAAAAATACCTTTAAAGAAAGTAATCTGATTATCTTATCTTCCTTAATCATGTGTATTTTGATTTCGTTACTTCCCCATTTATTGGGTTTCATGATTGGCATAATTTTTTCTCTTCTGTCTGTTTTATTTATATGCTATATTTGGCTCTTCAGAAGCAGCCTCACATCCCTCAAACTTCCTTGCCCCCACCTCAACACCTCTTCCGACTCTTGGAACCTAACACTTTGAAGCATTTCAGTTCCTTGCTTCTGATATGTTTCTTAAAAAGTAACATAGTTTATCTGTTTATATAAGAAATGCACGGTTTTTTTTTTGCAGAAAATCCTAAAATTCAGAGAAGCACAAAGATGAAAAGAAAGTCATTTGTAATTTTATTGCTCAGAGAACCAATATCCACATTTCAGTGGATAATTTTCAAGTCTTACTTTAATGCATCTTTTTCTCTCTCTCTTTATCACACATGCACACAAATTTAACTACATCTCACACTCTACATGTTGCTTACAATATACTTTCTTCTGACTCTACTATGATGTTATTTCCTTTATCATTAGAACTCCAGGCTGACCATCCCTCTACTTGGAGGGGCAGCCTAGTACATTATTCGAGTGAATGGGCAATCCAATTGGAGATATTTGGAGTGATTCAACTAGAGTGACCTCTGATACTGAAGATGAAAGCAGAAGGATAATTCCATTTTGACTTTGGATTATGGTTTACTTTCTTGCCTTTGGCAGAGAGCTCCCAATAGAAATGAACCCTTTGCCTTGGGGATGGCTGTTTACTAAATGACTTGTAAAATCACATATCATCTGTTCTCTTTAACAATTTATGGCTGTGTGGGAACAGTGCCTAAATTTACATCATGATGCTGTTTGCCGCCCTGCTTGGGAGCAGATGGTAAGTATTTACTGTGAATGACCTTTTTTCCCCTTTAATTTTTATCACTTAGAGCTCTCCACTGCAGCATTGCCATATGTTGCACACAAAATGCAGTGGTTACTGGGTTATTATTTACAACTGGAGCTTGAAGGCATATCATGAACTGCAAGTAGATACTTGTCTGAGTTATTGGCTTGACATTGTATTCCACCAAGGCCAATACCAGATTATGACATCACAACCTCATAAGTATATAGTCAATCTTAATAGATTTTATTATACTTTTTCTGCCAAAATAAAAAATAGTTCCTACTTTCATGAAAAAACCCTTCACAGAAACAGTGCCTTTAGAAAACAGAATACTTGATTTTGCTAAAGGTCAGGAAAAAAAAGTGCCAAAGCACTATAATGAAGAAGCTGTCACCTTATAATGAGAATTTAGCCTTTTTACAGCATCGTCAAGTAACACTGGAATCTAAAAGGGATATGAAGAAAGATAATCTGTTCCATTTTAGTTAAGTTCAAGAAACTTTATTGATTTCTTAATCTCTGTCAGCTATTGCCCTATGGATACAAAGATGAAGAATGCAGAACTCTGGTTTGGGTTTGGGGTGTTCACAAGAGTCAAGGAAAATATAAAGCAGTGAGGACCCGGAATGAGAGTGCCTAGGATGCTGAAGGAGCACAATGAACCTGTTAGTGACACTGAGGAGGTGAGATAAGTGGAGGCAGGTAAACCTTTCTGGAAAGGATGATGATGTCATGAGGCAAGAAGAAGGCAACCAGATGAAGAAAGAGAAGTGTGAATAACACCAACCAAGGCACATATTCCCAGCTTGCAGGGAATGATAAAGATTGTAAACATTTGGATGCCACATCCACAGATAGGATATACAACCAATCTTCAGATTACAGTATATATTTTATTTAATTTTTGTTACTCAAAAGCAACAAAACCAACCAACCAGAACAAAAACAGGGCTAAAATAGTGATAGCAAGAAAAATTATTAAATTAATGGGTCTGGGTTGTGTTTGTACATGTTATATGGTAGGTAGTAATTGTTTAGCACAAACAAGACCCTGATGTTTCATTTTTTAAAATCAAATAATCTATAAATGAATGAGTGCATAAATGAATAAGTAAGTGAATGAATGAATATCAATAAGATGAGATGTTGACCAAGTGAAGAATTCTGCATTTGAAAGTAAAAATAGTGAAGACAAAAATTAGTAATGCAATGTTCACAATTACCAATTAATGAGTCAAAATCTTTCTTAAGCCATGTAGATAATTCATCTTTACAATGTGTAAATGGAAGCCACATTTGTAAATTGTCTAAATGTTCTTCTTTCTATTATCTGTCGTTAGTCTTTGCATGTGATAGGTGTTTCTCTATGAGATTTTCATAGGTAATGTTTAAAATAATGTAAAGAAGAAAGTTCAGTCTGTCAGCAAAAGATAGATTCTGTAAAGTGTGAACTTACTCAAATTGGGGTATTCTCATTCTTTCAAATAACATCGTGAAGGAAAGAAGGCTTAGGAGCCTAAAGCATAATATTTAACATTTGCAGGTTTGATTATGGTTTTCTCTCCCATTTTTATATTTTCCACACTGTGTATCACAGCATATTCTGTGATAATAATGAGATTGGTGCATAGACTTGCACATGTTGAAAGAAAGATGTTATTTTCATTTTGCCAGATTAATATGAACTGTATAGCAAAACAAAAGTATATGTCAAAAATGATATTTGCATTTGCCTATAATTGCTTAAGTAAATTTCCCCAGGACTTTTTCATTTAAACCTATGGCTAGAGTTTAAAGACAGGCAGGTAGGGATGGGAAGACATACAGATAAAGAGCTAGAAGAAAGAATTGATGTAAAGAAAATATTTTACAAGAGAAGAATAAAGTATGTTAAATTCAGGAATGGTAATATTTGGAGAGGAAAAAAGTTCTCAAGATATTCTTTCAGTTTTTTTCATTGCAGCCTCTGCATTGTTCTGGGTTCTTGAAATTGAGAATCTTGCTTTCCGCTGGAAATGAGGTCGCACAATAGACTGAATCACGAAATACAACCTGAGTGGCCCCTGGCCAGTATTTCAACTTGATCTTTAAGAAATAGGATTGTGCTAGCAGACATATTTCATACAAGACAGTGCCTAGGAGGTGTGATTAGAACTATTGAACTACAATAATGGTAAAAAGCCAAATGACATCTGGTACTTATATTCTCTGTGACTATCCTGGGAGATATTCTCAGAAAACAACAAAAAACAACTCATGAGTTAAAAAAAAATAAACTTACAATATATGATGGGCATAATGATATCACTTTCCATTTCACTGACAGGGTTCCTCACCAGGCAGCTGTAATTCCCAATGTCTTCCTTGGTTACTGGAGCAATATGAAGGGTATTGTTTTGGGGAGAAAAGGAGTAGGTGGAGCTGGTGTGGACAGGTCTCCCATTTTTTAGCCATTGGTAAGCTAGCCGAGTGCCCCCTTCCACATGGCATGTCAGGGTCATGTTCCCCACATACTCCACAGCCCCAGAGGGAGGATGAATCTGCACCACTGGCTTTGTGACAGGATCTGCAATATTAAGAGAGATATGAATGATTTTTTCTTTTCATGGAAATATAATAAAACCCTATGAGGTCTTTCAAATATGAACTCCTGGAGAAATTATTCCAGCATTTTACACTGTAAATGTAGACAGCTCAGGTAATAACTAAAGAAGAGAAGAGAATAAAAAGCCAGGGAAAATGCAAAATGACAAAATATGAGAATATCATTTATAGTCAGAGATAATCAAATTCCAGAACTTACTTTTCAAGGATGGTCTAATGAAGCCCTTTACTTTATAGGTGGCTGAGAATGTCAGCTTCCTTATTTCCTGTTCATTGTGCTTTCACCAACACCATAAAGGTACACTTTCACAGGCAAAATTTTTATGGTTATTCCCCTCTATTGATTTGTCCTAATGTCCCAATAGCAGCTGGTTGGGATGGATGTGGTGAACTCAAATTTCTATCATCTGCAAAATATACAGCTAACATATATACTATACTTTTGGGAAACTGAGGGATAATTTTAGTGAATCACATATGTAAAACTATTCTTTCTATGTATGTCATGAAGCAATTATAAACTTTAATTGCTTTGCATTTGTGTTGTAACATTATGTTAGGCACTTTAACAAACCAAAACCTACATTTATTTCAACACTGACTCAGTCTGAAAATAGGATAAAATATATTCTTGGGCTTTTATCAAATTAGAGAAAAAAATACAAATCCGATAGAAATTCCTGTTGGAAAGTCAAGTCATAGGAAAATAGTCTTATTTCATCATCTGCCACACAGTAGGCTCTTAATAATATTTGTCAAAGCAAATTTCCAAAAATGAGTAAATATTTGCTCTCTGAATTTTAACTGTAAAGTTGATGGATTATATAAGCATGGTAGAATTATATAAGAATCCGCAACCATTTCTGGCAATTTTCTTTAATCATTGAAGTTCTTGACTTAATCGATAAAAACAGTGGCTTGCCCAGAGTTACACAGCAGTCAGTAGCAAAATGAAGAGGGCTTCACATCTGGCAATGTTTCTCTTCTGCATTTTGGAGAGAGGTGTATTTAATAATCTCCTTCTATGTATGACTACATGACACAGAGAGAATAGGATGATACATAAGTGAGAGATGATTGTGTCCAATGTTTAGACTTCAATTTCCTTTCAAGCTTTTAATTAGGGTCAATGCATCTTCCTCAGGTAGATTTATTTTGACTTGTGCTCATATTTTTCTACACTGGAAAATGTGCATTAGGGCACAAACTGACCAAATTCTCCATCCCAGAGAAGATAGAAGAAAGTGAAAGATAAGAGAAAGGAAGTCGAAAGGTAACTTATGGGGGAGTCGAGTAATTCTGAAGCTTATAGCACTTTTCAAGAAGGGTGTAATCAACTGGCTCATCTATTTAATTTAATCCTTCATCTTCCCTGGCAAGAACAAAAGACTGGGAAAGGCTTTATGTTTATGATATTATGATTTTAAAAGAAAAATAAATTGTGTACATTTAATATGCAGAAAAAGCTTATATTTCAAATGTACCTGTGTGTGGAACTGTAAGTGGTATGAGATAAATAGGTAACACATCAACAGTTTTGTATGAGAAGAACCAATCATTAGAATAGTCACTGGTATTGTGATCATACATTTGCTTAAAACAGTATAACTCAGATGAAGAAGTTTTTCTTCTGAGAAGAATTTTGGCATGGGGCCTAAAACCCTATTCAGGCTTTACTAAGTTTTTGGTTGCATTTTCCTAAGCAGATGCAACTTTACTACTGATTCACAAGAAAGGATTCTATTAGGAGGGAGACAGGACACCATATAGGAAATCTTCATGGAAATTCCCTTTAGATCTCTCTTTTCTTTTTCCCCACAGTTGCTCTCTAGGCATTTGCTTCTACCTTCTGCATCTTTACTCCTCTGAAGCCTCCCCAGTCTCCTCTGTGGCCACTCATTTATTCCACAGATAGTTGCTGAATCTACTAGTGGTCAGCAAAGGTTTTAAGCACTGAGGACAAAGCAGCAAATAATACAAAGTCCCTGCTCCTAGGGACCTCATATTCTAGGTAGGGAAGAGAAAGAATAAACAAATAAAAATCTATAATATGCCCAGGTAGTAATAAAAGCTATGAAAAAGAGAGAAGCAGAATTGGAGATAGAGAGTGACTCTCTCTCTCTCTCTTTCTATTTTCTCTGAGCATGTGTGTCTGTGTGTGTGTGTGTGTGTGTGTGTGTGTGTGTGTGTGTTGGAGAAGTGAGATTACATTTTATATAGGGTGGTCAGTAAAGGCTTCACAGATAAAGTGACATTTGAGCCAAGACCTAAAGGAAACGAGGGGAGCATGCTAGTATCTTGGAGAAAAGCTGTCTAGGTAGAGCAAACAGCAAGTACAAAGGCCCTGAGGAGGAGTGTGTTTTGGCCCGTTCCAGGAAAAGCATGAAGGCCAGCATGGCCAGAACCGAGTGAGTGAGGGGGATGCAGATAGGAAAATGGGGTCAGATAGGCGCTGGGTATGTGGGGCATTGCAGATTGTTAATAATTTGACTTTTACTCTGAGTGAGATAGAAGCAATGGGAGGATTTTAAGCTGAAGGAGGCAGGAATAGAAGCAGGGAGAGTAGGTGGCAAAGCTATTAGGACAGTTCAGGCCGCGGCTGATTGTGGTATTGAGTGGGGCAGTACTGGGGGTGGTAAGTGGTTGGATTTTGTCTATATTTTCAAGGTAAAGCCAATAGGCTTTCCCGTGGACTGGATGTGGGATGTGAGAAAAAGAGGAGGTCAACGGTGACTACAAGGTTTTGGCTAGAGCAATTGATAGAATGGAATTTGTATTTATTAAAATGGGGAATACTGTCAAATAAACAGGTGTAGAGATCAAAAATCAGAAGTTGGGCTTGGACATAGTATATTTTACATATGTCACTTATTTCAATAAGGAAAATAAGTGTCTGAAAGTTAGCTGACCCCACTCCTCCTCAGAGGACATTTCCAGGCATGTCCATTGTCCTTAAGTACCATTCTTGCACAAGTCTCATCCTCTTCCAAACAGTGTACTGAAACAAAAATCTTCATGACAAAAATAGGACTCTTCCCAGGGTACAGTCTATTGTTGAGAAAATAAGATTTTCTCCATCTCATCAAATTAGCAACATTATACTTGATAGTTCCCAGGCAAACAAACAATAAGTTATACTTAGTGCTTGATTACCTATTGCACTAGGTATATCTCTTATGTGCATGTCTTATTTAATCTTCAGAAAGCCTTGTGAGGTAGATAATGTCATTAGTGCCATGAGATATTGAGGCTTTGAGGATTAATTGATTTGTGCAAAGTTGTGAAGCCAAGATCTAAAGCCGAAGTAGTTTAGTCTCCTGAGCCTTTGCTAACTACCATGCTAGACTGCTGCCCTCGTACACTCACAGGGGACTCACCATCAACCGTGACTTGTATCTTCTGACTGGCAGATAGAGTTCCATTTCCCTGAATGTTGACCTTCACGATGTAATTGCCTTCATCAGGGAACTGCAGTGGGTTGATAAGCAGAGATGCATTGGGTGGCATCATGGTGAACTTGTGTTGGTATTCCAAGTCAGGAACCACAGACTTATTCACAGAGCCCAGTAAGTATTTGGGCATTGTGTGGGGTCTCTCAAATAGCCATATGATCTGGATGTCTGATGCTGGAGTGTGGAAGCCATAGTGGACGGGTAGGTAGAGGGCCTGACCTCTGACGCCATGGACAGTGTGTGATGGCACTGTCACCTTCAGCCCCGAGCAAGCACCTGTTGCAAAGGAAAGGAAAGTTGTGAAGACCTTGAGCCACATTTCACAATCTAAAGGGGCAAATGCAGAGAGAACCTGATCAGGTGATAATCCTTTTCAAAGAAGAGTGGCTTCTAGGTACTGACTATTCTAGTACTGGTTACATATAGAGGTAAATATTTGTCCCTGAAACCTTCTGCACTTAAAAAACTCCACCCAAAGACCGTGCTGGTTGCACAAGATAAAAAGGAAAAGCAGAAGTTATTTTCTACGATTGCTACGGAATAATGGGAAAAGGAGAACTAAGAAAGTTTACTACTTCTAAAGTCCAATGAAACCATTAAAACATTTGGAATTATGACTATATTAATGTCTGTCATATCATATCATAATCTAACTATGTGATTTGAGAAATACTAGAGGTTATTTCCTCCCAACAGTTTCCCTTAAAGCTGTCTGAAATGACTGAATATTCCATTATTGGAAGTTCTTCCTTTTAGCCAAATGCTTGCCAAATGCAAATATCCCAAGGAGAGTGGTATTAAACCATTATCAGTCATGACCAGTTATTTCCACCCAGAACAGGCATCTGGTTGGTGTATTTGAGAAACAGCAAGAGGCAGGTACAGATGGAGCACAGTGGAGGAGGAGGAGCATGATAAGATATGAGGTCAGTGAGGTGGCTGTGACAGACTGGCAGGACCTTAGGATCACGGGAAAAACTCTGGCAATTTTACTCTAAGATGGGGATGCAATAGGAGTTTCATGAACAGAAAAGGGCTATTTTTTTAAATGTTTTATTAGACCTAGTCTAGCTGCTGTGAGAATACACAGGAATAGGGCTAGAGCAGGAACAGGGAGAACACTTAGTTAGGAGGTGACTGCAATGTAATAGGCCAGAGACAACTGTGCTGGAAACTAGGGTGTTAGTAAAAGACGTTTTGGAAAAAGGCTGATTGTGACAAAAGGATTTGGTGACACTTTGAGGGTGTCAGAAACAAAGAGGATGCCAAGCTTCTTGACTCGGACCAACTGGAAGAAAGGAATTGCAGTAAATAAATTAATCATGGGGAAGACTGTGGGGAGAATAGTTTTTGTGGGGAAGACGAGGATTCAGTTTTGGGAGCGTTCATTTTGAGATGCCCATTAGACATCTAAGAGGCAATGTTGTGAAATCCTGATTAATGTGAATTTAAGAGAGAATGAGGGGCCTGAGAGGGCCTTGGGGCATGGAGCTCTGCCCAGTGGATAGCCCTGGGCAGTGCTGGGGATTTGTGGACCCATGCATTCACTGCTGTATCTTCATGTTTCTTCCCAGTTTCTGGCAACTGGAGATTTCCCCGTCTTACCTTAAGCCATGATATATTATTTTATTTTATTTAGCATTTCTATGTATTTGCAGGGGGAAGAGAGTCTTCCTTAGCTCAGGTTACCATGTTGCTGGAAGCTCTTTGCTTCAAAATCCTCATATTAAAAGGGGCAATATGATACCTACATCATAGGAACATTTGACGTAATAGAGGAGAGAGTGAGAGAAATTTAAATGTGGAATATTTTGAATGATGAGAGAAAAAATAGACAATGAAAAGAAACTGTAGACAATGAGTATAGACAACACTTTAGGGAAGTTTTGCTGTGAAGAGGACCAGAGAGATGGGACAGAAGCTGGAGAAGGATCAAAAATGTGAAATAAAGAGAGTTTTTTGCTATTGGGAATGTTTCACTGGAAAGGGAAATGTTGATGAGGCAGAATAGAGATGGGTGAAAGTGGAATAAAATCCTTAAGCAGGTGAGAAGAGATGGAAATTAGATATAAATAGAAGCATTTTACAATTTTAAATTTCTCAAGTACAAAATGTTCATCCTCTTTGATCGCTTCCACTTTTTCATTTTTTTCTACATTTTTTTGATTTCATTCTACTAGAAAGGGAGTCCTCAAGCTTCATCCAAGTCATGTCATGAAAGGCCATCAATTTTAAAAAGGGAAAGGTAGAAAGATCTGTTTGCCTTTTGTGATTATTTCCTTGGAAAAACTCAAAGATGTAGGCCTGTTCCTATGAGGAATCCAGTTCTACCAACAGTAAATTTATCTCCTTCCTTCCCAGAGTGGAGGTAGAAGCAAAGATTCCCACAGTTTGGGCCTTTGGCTAGCTATTAGTAGAGAGTGAGACTCTGGGGTTGGCAGAGAAGTTAGAGGAAAGAATCCAAGAGGAGAAAACACCAAAGAGGAAGATAGTTAGTTAGAGGGAGAAGAGACTCCTAGACTTGCAACTGAAACTTACCATATGGACTGAAAAGCAGATGACTGTAAAAGAAACATAAAGACATGTCTTATTGTCTCATTGGCCTCTGTGTGTTTTTGTGATTAACTTCTAAGAATTTTTTTTTCTTCTGATAATGGACCTACTTGCACACTTTGGTGATTGGTCCATAACAAAGCAGTTACAAAGATGAGAATTCCCTTCTGTATTCTTTTCTGCCAAGTGTAAGACTATTAAATCTGGAATTTTTCCTAATTTGAGTGATTAGAAAAAGAGAAAACTGGGTGCTGGGAATTCTAAAGAGGAGATAAAGTGGACTGCAGAAAAGAAGTAGTGGTTTTCGCAAGGAAATAGTAGGAGAGAGAAAGAAAGATGGGAGAGAGAAATCTATGTCTCAAAATTAGTGATGTCTAAGATATGTGAAGCAGAGGCTGACAGTCGGGGTGAAACTCTTAAAGTCATAGGTTTAGTAAGACATTGGGCCTTTGGATGGGAGATCAGCACAGGAAAAGATTCCTCTTTGTCTATCTGTTTTCTGTACAAAACAAAATGCATTTATATGTCTTTCATTGAAGTTGAAGATAGGCAGTTCCTGACAAGTTCCTGGTAAGCGACAACAAAAAAAAATAGGCTTAGTACCTGTTATTACTAACTTAAGATATGTAAATTGGACCTTTCACTGTATTAAGTGTATTGCTCCCTCCTTTTTTTTTACTTGTGTAAATATGAAAATATTTACAAGTGTTTCATGGCTCACTCCTGATCTTGGACTCCCATGTTCTATGTCCGCCATTGAGTCTTAAATTTATCACTTGCAAATAGCTCTAAAATAATGATTTTCAAGCACCTATTCTCTTAACTTGAAGATTACTGTGCTTGTTACTTTAATAAAGTTAAAGATCTACTGAAATATGAAGTCCTAGTAAAGGACACATACTTGGGGTAAAATGGTGATTGGTCAGTTATGTGACCTTAAATAAGTCATTTTAATTTTCAGACTCAGTTTTCTCATGTGTGAATAGGAGGTAATATCAGATAAGGTGTAAGGCCTTTCTCGACTCTCTTAATTTTATGTTATTGACAACCTGAGGTGCTTTTCTAAGGGTAGCAGCTACCTATATTTGAAGGTGAAGGGCCCAGAGAGTTTTGAGAGGACCCAAATTGAGAGAGGGCCTAAATAATTTTGAAGAATTGAGTCCCAGTTTTTGGTTCATATATTAAGTTGTCAATCCTTGGATATCCTTTAATAAAACAGCAATTCTGTGTTTTTTACAAAGAAATCAAGGGGAATGATGGAAGTCTGTATAATTGCCTTGGGAATGCACTGGAAAAAGCTGCATGGCTGCTAATAGGGAGCAGCTTTGTCATGGATGTGTTGGTTCACTTAGGACATTTCACAACTCAGCCTAGAAACCACCATTAGGCTGAGAAGGTCTGAATGGATTCTGACCCATTTTGTGCTTGTCATTTGGGAAAGCCATTGCAAAAGTCCTTCTCTGCTTTTTTTGTAATTGACTTCCTTTGTAGTTATATTTGAAAAGATTGAGATTTATTTAATATTCTGGAAATGGTTGGGAGGCACTATATTACTATGGGGTGACAATATTGCTGGAATAGAAATGTTGATGACTTTTGGATCTTGACCCAGAATGTTGAATCTTAAATATGAAAAGACTGGTTAGAGAGTCCATGACTAAAATTATAGGAGGAAAATTTTATTTAATGAAATATTAAATACAATACAAATATTGAAGCTCTGAGAAAAAATAACACTACATTAGTAGAAAAAGATATTTAATATAGCGTTTGTGATCATTATTTAGGGGAAAATTAGTTTTGGGGTCTATTTTAGACTGCATCATGTAATAATACCTTAAATAATATATTGCCATCAATATCTCTGAATAGGTTCAGTGCTTTCTTATTAAATGAAAAGTTTTTTTCAAATATGTATGCTTTTTCAAATGTTTGTGTGACAGTGAGAAATAGCACAGCTGTTACAGTAACTATTTGCTTAGAGATTGCCTATACAATTTTTTATCAGATAAATTATAGGTAGCAAGTTATAAGAATGTCAGCAGGGAATGAAATTTTCTTTATACAGTATCTTATCTCAGCCACGTAAAATCTCTTCATTGGACATGAACCTATCAATATGATACAATCTTTGCTTGTAGTGAAATTTGGGAATAAACAGATAATTGAATGCTTCCTCCACATTCTAGGAACACATACTCTCTTATCATTGATGTGTCACCCACTACAGATGTGATGAATTCATGCTGTCAAACACAGTAGTTTACTAATGTGAGAAAACTTAGCTTCATTTTGAGAAATTTTCAAGTGCTCTTTTCTAGTTGTATGAGAAAACCCAAAGGACTAAACCTATTGATTTTAGAAAATCATCCTCTGCATGAACAGATAAACTTCAAGAAAATAAATAATATAAAAAGGTTGGTTGTGGTGGCTAATGCCTGTAATCCCAGGCACTTTAGGGGACTGAGGTGGCAGATTGCTTGAGCCCAGGAGTTTAAGACCAGCTTGGGCAACACAGCGAGACCTCTGTCTCTATTTGAAAAAATACAAAAACAAAAATAATAAATAATATAAAAATTGATGAAATTTAAATTTATTTTTAGTAGTCCAAATATTTGGACTTAAACGGAAATTTAAATTCGATTTTATTATTATATTCACTATTACTTTCTGAGTATAACAAACAAAAACTCTTATAAATTATAGTTCTGTTAAAAAAATCTTGACTTTTTGCATATAAGGCATTACACAAATCTGGAGAAACATTTATAATACTAATCATAATCTGACATACAAAATTGCAGCAATGATCCCTCCTTTACAGACCCTCTTACATTGTATGACAATAGCACTATAAAAAAGTATCCAGTGTTAAGGTACACTTGAAGTCCTACTGTAGAATTTATCTATATTCCAGCAACAAAGGACTCCCTAGACCGGTTTCATTGTATTGAATATAAACATCAGATTTCACAAAGTGACCTCTGCTGTAGCTCAAAATAGCTGGCATTTACTTCCCTGTTATCATGTGTGGTATTAACAAGCATAACACAAGTATTGTTGACTGAAAATAAAATCTTGCATCTTTAGAGAAAATAGAAATTATGATGTGTTTTGAATAAACTGTACAAACTGTACATTTTAGGCTTCAAATTTTTAAAAATTTTTTAAAAAGAAGAAGCAAACAAAACTTCAATATTCCTAAAAGCAAAGATTGCCAAGTCATCTGTGGTCTTTACAACACACTGCCTATGGAGAAAAGCAAATTTGCAGAAGAGAGAAGGTCTTAAGGTATAAAAACTGCTTTAGCTATTTATGAACATGCTATTTTCCTAATGTACATTTGTTTTATTTTAGTTGAATTCCTTAACTAAATTGTCTCTAAGTTCTTCTTAACGCCAGTTTCAAAAACAACACTTATAAAATGATAGTAGTCCTACTGTTTTAAATATAAAAATAAGTGGGATGATGACCCAGGATACTTTCAAAAGGAAGACAAATGCACAAAGGTAGTGACAGTTATAATAATTATTTACTTTTTCAAAAAATTTTAGAAAACAAAAATCTATTATAGGCTTAAATTTGATAACATAAATACTGTGATAACTGGAACAATCACAACTCTGGGAAACTCAAAGACTTAAAAAAATTTACAAACTGTACATTTCAAATGTGTGAGATAGGTACAACAGTAGGTATGAATTTGAATAATAACATTTACAATGCAAACTTTAACAAAATATAGGAGTGAAAGTAAAGCTCTAAATAGCTGAAGAAGCCTAAAAGTTAAATTGCTTATTTTGCTAAGCTGTTCTTAATTTTTAAAAAATGTAGCCTTAATTGAACTCCTATCTGTTGAATATAAACAAAACAAGAAATTGATTTGACTTTTAAAACTGATAAATAGGAAGAATGGAAATGAGAACATCTGGTGAAAATAATGTTGACAGACAGCAGTTGGAATGCTGGAAAGAGACTCCTTTAAACTCAAAAGATAAAGAGGAGAATGAGGGAAAATATTAAGGTAGAAAAAAATTCTTAATAGGACTAGCCATTGGGCAAAGAGAAAAGCTAAAGGCATTTTGGAGTAACAATCTTTTCAAATACGTTCTCCCTTTTGTGTAGGAAATTTTTTTGTTAGTTTGGAATCTTACCTTTCTTCCATATTTCATAAGATGAGACAGATAACTTAAAACGAAGCAGTAAACAGTTTGCAACAATATCTTTAATTAAAAAGAAAACAATTTTCGTAAATTATTTGTAGTTTCACTCTAAGTGGTCACAATTTCATGGCCTATTAGAATATTTGCTGAAATAAATGCATTAAAGACTATTGAACCTATATGTAAACTCTAAAAGAAGAAATTCATTATCTTTTAAAAATATCTGAATTATCTTAATGAGTGCTATGACAATAATTGTTGTTCCAAGAAAACAATAACAATCTATTTATTGAAACTCATTTCTCTTAAATGTTCCTGCTTCTTTGCTGTAACAGTGTGTTATTGTTAAAAGGTTCTGACCTGCTCTTCAATTATCTGAATGCATCTACAGCCTAAAGCAAATATTTACCTTATGTCCACAATTAAAAAAAAAAAACCTAACAAACAGCTAAAACACAATTCACACAGGGCCTTACCGAAGAGAAGGAGGTATATTTTGCACTGAAAGACCCCAAGTGTGTCACCGAAGGGCTCCATGAAAGCATCCTGTCCCATGCATGCAGTGCCCTGTTCTCAGTGGTAACTTGGACCAGCAGCTGCTGGTTTATTTGCTAGGGAAATTAGCAGTGAGGTAACAGACCCTATCTTGCCTCTTGCTTCTGTGATTTGAATACAGAATGAATGTGTATACAAAGGACACAGGGAGTGGGAACACCTGTTATGTGCTTAGCAAGAATACAGGCTTATGGCTTTCAGAAGAGTTTCTTAGCAACTACCAGTAATTGTCTATATATTTCATAAATTATACTTAGTTATTAAAAAATCACATGAAGGAAAACATCCTTTTGCGTGACTTTACTGAAAAATGGCATGTTTTCATAATGAAAGAATATTGTGAGATTTCCTTAAAAACAAAAGCTGGTTTTCTATCATGCAGAACTATGCCATTATTATTTTAAAATTAAAAAAAATTATATGAAAATTGAAGTAGCTCATGTATCTGCTAAACAGTTATAAATCTTCATGAAGTCACTAACATGTAAAAATTCTACCAATGAATCAAAAGAGAGATCCAGAATATATTTAAAACGTATTTTTTCTATGCAGTGTTTCCTATTACAATGACTGATTTCATTTAATCTTTGAATTCATCTTATTTTTAAAAGCAAATCACAGGTGTGTTTCCAACTGGGACTGAGGCATGGACCATGCATAATTATAATGAAAAGTGCATGCCAGGAGATAGTATCTGAGGCCACATTTTCACAGCTGATGCATAGAGGAAGTGAACCAATGATCTAGAAAAGATCTTACCTCTACTGCAGTGTCCAGGTTACAGGTTTTCAACCTGGTCTCTCCATTGTCATGGCAGCAGATAGTCTAAGCATGTCCGCTTAATTTACTAAGTTATTAGTTAACCCCTATTTGCAAGAAGGCTCTGGTTCTAGCCTTGTTATATAAAATGTTAAGGATATATCCAAATCTGCATCAAATCATCAAATCAAGGAAAATTCCTTGCATGCATCAGTTTTAACAGTAAAGGCCCACTGAAGAAGTTCAATGATAAGAGGGGAAGGAAGACTATACCTCAAGCATAATTAAAGTAAAAAAGGAATGATAGTAACTTTGGAATCCAAGTTTGGAAACACTCTTTGCATTAGGGCTCTGAACTCTTCTAGAAGGACTTCTATAAGCAAAGAAAGTAAGTGACTATTGGGAAAACGAAGTCCTCTTCAGAGATCAGTCACTTTCAGATCCCTCCATGCTTCAGAAAAATGGCAAGAGCTCCTCATGCTTCCCCCACCTCCCTGCAAAATAATAACAATGCCACAACTTTCTCTGCACTGTCTCTAAATCTGGTACACACATCTATTGCAGCACTTATCTCCTTAATCTTTATTTTATTGGATGTTTATTTTCCCTCTGAGCTCTCGAATACAGAGAATAATCTTATTCATTCATGGATGTTGGGCACGTAGCATAATGCTTAACTGGTATTTTTGTTAAGTTGTTTCTCCAGAAAACAAAACTCTAAGTGCTCCTTGGCCCGTCTTACGATTCTCAGTTGATGCGTAAGAAATACAAATAAATTTTAATATTGGATTGCACAAAATACAATTTGGAAAGTAATATGGAAGTTCTACAGATATCACATAGGTTCCCCCAACATCTTTTAGATTGATATTAATCTCCAATTGCCGTTATCAAATTAGCTGTTTTCAGTGTTTTTCAATCTAGTGCTGGATTATAATGAAGTTTGTTGGGTCCCTGGCAAAAAGAGAAATAAAGACAATGTACTGTGTTTTTCCCTAGTGTTAAATATACTCAATATAAAGGAGTTTTTTATTCTGAGATTTTCTTTGTTGTATTTGAAAATATTCCCTGTTTCATGACATAAGGTGATAGTAGATGCTACATTAAAAAATAAATGCCATATGAATCTTACTTGTAATCTTTTTATTTCATGGCACATATTGAAATATAATACGGCACATCTAGGGAAAGGGCTACTGGGATAATCATGACAAAGCGCCCTCTAGTGGTAAACTGTAGATATAAACTCTTACCTGCTGGAGTAACTTCTGATTTCAACATGTTTACACAGGAAGTGAGAAAAAGAGTGCTCAAGCTTAACTTCAACAATTGTTAATTTTTACATGATTCTTAAAAATAGTTTGAAGGTTTTATAATTATAAGAATTTTCCTACCATCCATATCTCACATCACACCTGTAACCCACTGGGAAGTTCTGCTGTTATCATTCCAGTCAGGAAAAAAGGGCCTGTAGTGTTACTGTTTACCAATCTTAGTTATATTTGCATTTAAAATGAGAAGGCTGATTAACCTAAAACAATCTATATCCACGGTGATTAAACTGCAAGCAATGTAAGGAGCCACTGGGATAGAGTATGCGTGTGTGTGTCCACGTGCATTTACAATGGGATATGGACACATATACTCCTGTGCAGGAGGGTGTGTGTGTGTGTGTGTGTGTGTATGTGTGTGTATGTTTGTTGGGGGCAGGGATTTTTATTACCTCTCAAATCACACTACACAGTTTACAATCTAGTTTATTTAAATTGCAGACTGGTATTACTTCATACAGTAAATGTCTGCTGCATGCATTTCAAACATCCACATTTTTAATCACAAGTAGCTAGCACACGCATGTTTTGCAGTGGCAGAAACAATTAAGGAGAGGTGGTGAAATGCCAAGGTCAATGTAGATGCAGAACAGTGGGGAATAAGAACTGGGGAAAGAAATGTTTCTTATTGTTGTAATTAGTGGATTCTCTCCAGTTTACAGGGAGAGTTAGCTGCCAGAGGAGGCTATCACATATGCCTATGCCTGTGCTAGTGTTCACTTCTGTAAAGTCTACAAAGCTGCCTCGTGGAAGCCTTGATCTATCTTATATGGCTGCTAAATACTAAGCAGTAATGTCTTCTTCCTGGGCACCTCTTTAGGTCACTACTTTACCTTTGGCAAGTGTTCTGTTTTCTGTTATGGCCTGCTCAAGAAGTGTAGTCATATCATCTTGGAGGGGCTGCATCTCTCCACTGCTTTGGTATTTGTGGAGTGGTAAGAAATTTTATCTTTCTAATCAAACCAGGATCTCAGCTTTTATTTAAGCTTCCAGACATTCCTCCTGTTTTGGGCCATTAGTAATATGCCCTTATCCTACTTTACTACTAATCCTATTGTTCTGAATCAGATCAATTTACTTAACTCTTGGCTCTGCACTCCTTTACCAAGGAATTGGTATCCAGCCAACCTTCCCCAGGATTTGGTGGCAGACCATCTAAACTTTCCATTATTTTGCACTGGACTATCACTAACAACAGCTCTCAGGTAAATGTGAAAGTCCTGAATAAATCTTAAAAATAAATACCTTTTTGAAAATTGGAAAGGAAATAGCAGCATGTCCAACCTTTTAAAAAGTGTTTGTTAGGATGCCAAGTTTTTTGTTTTTTTGAGCGTAGACAGATAGAAATGAATAACGTAAGGTTCAATTATTTCATATAGTGTTAAGGTATGCTGAATTAGAAAATATAGTTTATTTAGACACCAGCGCTGATTTACTTTACAAGCTTTCAATATTATAGTTATAGCCTTAAAACATTTAGAAGACTGTATCCATTTTTATCCATTTCTCCAGTTTGTAGGAAATAAACTAAAATGTAGAGTTTTGGAGTAAAACAAAGTTTCAATACTTTCTTGCGTTTTCAGTGTCGAATAGATAGGGATAACACTCATTTTTCTGAATTTGGCCAATAGAAATACACATATTAGATAAAAAAAACTTTTTGGGGGGATCATCTTTAACTTTGTGTATTTGAGTATGTGAGGGAGAAAATTCCGGGGTTGAATCTGGGTTCTAGTCCTAGATCAAGCTCTCATGAAATATGTGGTCTCGAACCCTTATACAGATACGTTTTCTCATCTTTACAGCATGGATTTGACATGCTAGAGCTGGACTGCCTTTAAGAATCACTGAAGATTTTAAACAAACAAACATCCCCAAAGAAAACAACAATAATAACAGCACACACCTCAGGTGAATCTGAACAGTCAGGTTTGAGATCTACTGAACTCAGATCACCCCTAAGATATGCTTTTAAACCCAGTTGTGAACTCCTTGTGACCACAACCATAGATTATTAATCAAAGTGCTTATTTTAGTGTTGCCTTGAGCGCAACAATCAAGAAATGTTTATTGACTTGGGTTTTATTTTATAGGCTAATATGGCTGGCAGTTTTTGTTTCTTTTGATGCTTTCAGGGACTTCTAAATATTGCAGATTTTCACACACAAAGAACAGTCTGACAATTAAGATTAGAGAAGGTAAAGAATAAACTAAACTAGACTTGCCCTAAATGTGACCAGAATTTCTTGAAGGGGTTAGAAATAACAGAGTCAGAGAAGCATATAGGTAAACATATAATTTCAAAGGAATTGCTGAACGCAGTGATGATACAAGTATGCACAAGGTGGTTCTGTTGGAGTAGAGAACTGGGCAGAATCAAAACCAATAATACCTCATAATTGTATAGTGCTTTACAATTTATACATTTCATTCACCTACATCATCTCACTTATCCTTACAAAGCCCTATATAAAATATTAAAATATTACAACCTCATTTGTAAAAATTAATAAAACGAGGCTCTAAGGGGTGAGAAAATAGAATTTCAGAATCAGAAATAACCTCTGTTAGTGTCCCCCAAACTTCAGTCATTTGCAAATCACCTTTATTAGTTTTGCCATATCTGACTACCACCCATACTATTGTTTACCTAGTATTTTTTATTACGTTGACACACTTGAACTTTTTTTATTCTAAGAAATATTTTTGAAATTATGGGTCTGTGTCATACTTTTAGAAGTTAACATTATAATAAAATAAACTTAAAAAAATTGGTGCCATGCTTTAGAACTTTCTTCAGCACAATACATGAAAATCTTAACACATCTGATGACCGATTAATCCTTCAGTTTCTACTTGCACATCTGCAGTAATCTTAGGCAAGTTCCTTAATTTCGCCATACCTGCTTCGTCATCTTTAAAATGGGAACCCACAGGATTCTTGTGTGGATAAATGAAATCATATATTTAAAGCTATTAGCAGTTCCTGACAGGTACTCGGCTTTCGATAAGTGTTAGCTATCATTGTTAGCTTTAGGGCTGCTTTTTCTTCTTCTTCTCATATTCTCATAATTGTAAAGTCCTTTTAAAATTGTGTCCCCAAAGACACTTCTGTTCCTTTCCCCAATTTAACTAAACTGCCAAAAGTTGAAAAGAGGACTTTAAAGTGACAGGTATACTCGTTATTGTCGTATTTCCCGTCATCACTGCTTTAGAGTACGGAGGTAAAATAATAGGCGGGCGTCAAAATCCTTCGATTTTAGAGCTTTTGCAGGGGATACCAAGACTGAGGTAGAACAGCCCTAAACCTGGAGGGCCGCCTATTGGGCAACCTAGAGCACACCTTTCCTCAGGCCAAACCCAGCGCGCCCGGGGTAGTCTCGAGTTCTCAGGTTACCCCTCAGTGACAGCCCTTTCTTGAGTTCCTTCTCCTTCGCGTCAGTCTCTCGTTCTCCCACCCCGCCCCTCTAGACCAGGTGAGGTTTCCTCCCTCACACTCCTAGGGGACATCGCGTCAATCTGGCTTATATATTGTCTCCTCTGAGTTTGATCTTTCGCTCAACGCCTAGTCACCTGTGACTTAGGTTTCCGTCTCGCCGAAGAGTAGCTACTGCCTAGTGCAAGCACCTTTGTAAGACCGGCGATCGCAGTGGTCGCTCTGAGCAGTAATATTTACCGGCTTAACTGAAGCACCCGCTCTTTTGCTTGCTGGGAGATGTAGTCCCTGGGTTGGCCACTTTAGTTCATCGTTGCTACCGCCGGCGTCCAGAAGACTACAGTTCCCAGCAGGCCCAGGGAAAGACAGGATACCCTGGGTCGGCTCCTCCACGTGACCACCCACTATGGCTTCCTAGTGTCAGGGCCAGCTGTGTAGTGGCTCGGTGTGATTTGTTAGCTCTTTGAGGCAGGGTACCCTCCTCAGGATTTCGATATGCAAAAAATCAAATCTCTCATGACCCGACAGGTAAGTCGCGGCGGCTGAAGCAAAGGCTTCCTTCATCTCGGAAGTGAGAGGAGCCGAGATGTTCTGTCCCCAACCAGTGGCGGGCGGGGATCTAAGTTATGGGTGGTGGCAGGTGTCAGGGGGACTGGGAAGCCGGGGCATACCCTAGAAAACTCACCTGGGCCGCCTGGGTTGGAGCACTGCTCCAGCGGGTACCAGCCTCCCAGAAATATTCGTTTAAAAATAAGTCATTGAAGGAATCAGGGTATCTTTGTCTCCCCTCCTCCTCTTTTTGCCGTCTTTCCAGAACAGCCCGAGCTTCCTTGCAAGGTCTTCCGCATCCAGGCTGTCTGTCATATGCGAGCTGATAGCCTGGGTAGGGTGGTGTGGTCTGTGCAGTAGAGGTGACCTGGAAAGACTGAAAACGGATGATTTGAAGACAGAATTAGTAGCTTTTGGATTTTGGGCAAGTCCCCAAACTTTGTAGCTTACGTTTCTGGATGTGAAAATAATTATTTTTGTTCATTTTACTTCACAGTTCTGTTATGAGGGTCATCGATAAGCTAATATATGTGAAAACTCTTTGTGAAATTCTGCTTTAAAAAATTTATTTTTGTCATGGCAAAATACTGATCTTTTCTTTTTTTTCCCCAGAATGGAAATTCATGAATAAGAGCTTTGGCTATTTTGTAACCTGTCTCATAAATGTTAGGGACCTCGTAATAATGCCTCAGCTTCATTTAAGAAGTGCAGAAATTTTCTTTTATGTACTTATTGATTATGACTTTGTTTTAGCTGCCTTTATTTACTTCAGCTTTAATATTTCACTAGAATTGGTCATTTTATTATTTTAATATGAAAGATAGTTAAGATTAGAGTTTTAAATCAACATGGCTTTTAGAAGTTTGGAGAATGTGGAAGGTAATCGTTTAGTGAAAGGTATATTTGTGAGTTTTTTTCTTGTTGATTACAAAAATAACTCAAATTCCACATTCTTATTTGAGAATTCACAATTTGAGAGATATATAAACAGGATACAAATTGTGTATTTCTCTTGCACAATGCACAAATGACCCTTACATGATTATTTTAGTTATGTCAGAGCATTTTGTTAATGTTATGAAAATATAATCAAAATGTTCTGTGAATAATAAAAATATTTAAGTAAGTGGCTAGTAACATTTGTTAATTCCTCACATGTGTTGAGTACTGGTGTTGTGCGTCCTACTACTTCTTACTTGACGATGAGTTTGGGTCCTGCTGTATCCTGTGGCAGCTGTGTGACTTTCGGCAAGTTACATAACGTTTTTAAGCATCTATTTCCACATCTTTAAAATAGGAATAATGTGTGCCTTATGGAGTTAGCCTGATAGTGGTGTTTACATGATATAATGAAGTTAAAGAGTTTAAGGCGTTAACGGAGTTCCTGGGCATTATCAAGGAAGTGCTTGAACGCAGAGACCGTTAGTTACATTGGCTATGTTGATGGTGGGAAAGCAGGAAAATTGGAAGCAGGCTGTTGCAGTAATTCAAGCAATAGATAAGTTCATGCTGACTTCGGTACCTGTTTGATTTTTAAATCAATATATACTTTTGTACTTTATATCACTAATACCTCTAAACTGCCTTTGGAATGCTGAATTTGGACTTTTGTGCATCAGCTGTTTGATGCTGTCTCAAGTTTGTTGCCTGCCATACAGTTCAGTGTAGTTAACGTTGTCATAATTGTATGGTAGCTGTGGTTGGTTTAGTTTTTTTGACCTCATTTTGTAAAACTGAGGAGAGAAAAAAATTTCAGATAGCAGTGATAAGTGTATGTCTCCTAAATGTAATGCAATTGTGCTGAAAATGGTAACACTTAAGCCTTAGTCAGTTGCTTATTGAATTTCAGCAGGTCAAACCTGTGTTTAATTGAAATGGAAAAAAATACATTAAAGAACACATACAAAAAGCTGGAACCATACTGTGTACAAAGTGAGGTAAAATTAGGAGTTTTGCATACATATTTAAAGTTATCCTAATTATATATGTTATGGCTTGACTTTCACATATTTGATACTGATGCACAGTTCCTGAATCTATGAGGTATGAAATTAGTGTGCCTGCTATTTACATTGAGGGTTTGAATTAGTACAGTTTATTATTGGGTTAAATTTAATAGGATTACAAGTAAGTATACATGAAAGTATTTCTTTTTTTGAACCTATAGAATGTGCTAATAATATATATTGAGTTAATATGGAGAGATAGGAAATTAAGGTCTGTGAAATTTAAGCTTTGGGACATTTCAGCTGTCCTGGGATCTTTGTTTGCAAAATAATGGGAGGAAGGAAGGCTTTGTTAGCTCTCTTTATTTAGATGAGATCTGTTCTTCATCTTTCTCCATCATGCTCACCTCTGTTCTTTCAGTCCATTCAACAAATGTTTATTGAGCAATTTGTGCCAGGTACTATTCTAAGTAAAAAAAAAAAAATAGACAAGTGTTAAGGCAGACACGGTGATAAACACTGTAGAGGAAAAGAGGATAGAAAGTCCTGGGAATTGTTGGTGATTTGAGGTCACTTATAATTTTAGATAGGATGGCCACGGAAGGCCTCACAGAGAAGGTAATATAAAAAAACCTGAAGGGGGTGAGGAAGTGAACTCTGTGAGGTAGATATTTGGGAAGGAGCATTTCCAGTGGAAGGAAAGGCAAATGCAGAGGTCCTGAGGCAGGAGCTTGTTTGAGAAATTGCAAGTGGCCTGTGTGGGTGAAGTGAGTGAGGAGAAGAGTAGTGGGAGATGAGGTTAGGATGAGGTTAGATGACTGAAGGCAGGAAGCTAGATCATGTAGTACCTTATAGGTAATAGCAAGGTCATGGCTTTCATTCTGAGTGAAATGGCAAATAGAGGAATGATATAATTGGACATAACACTTCAGACAGACCATTTGGACCCATGTTTTAAGAACAGATTGAAGAGCGGAAAAGAGCAAAACCAGGGGAGGTGAATGATGAGGCTACTGTGGTAATCCAGGTGAGAGGGTGGGTGTAAGCCTTCCACCCTAGTGGTGGAAGTGTTGAAAGAGGTCAGACTGTGAATATGCTGTAAATGTAGAGGTGACAGAATTTCCTGACAGATTGGGTTTGGGCTGTGAGGGAAAGAGAAGCATCAAGGATGACTCAAAATAGTTTGGCCCTAGCAATTGGAAGAATGTAATTGCCATTTCCTCGGATGGATAAAACTGAGGGAGGAACAGATTGAGGGAAGGGACATGGTTTTTGGACTTGTTAATTTGAAAGCCTCTTAAATATTCAACTGGAGAGATACAGCAGGCAGTTGGCCAGATGAATCTGAATTTATGGGGCGAATCCAGGGTATAGCTGAAACTCTGGGAGTTACAAACATGTAGATTGCATATAAACTGGTTAAGATCACCAGTGGAATGAGTGTAGATATACAAAGAATCTAAGGTTGGAGCTTTTGAGAATCCAGTGTTAAAAACTCAGGGGGAAGTGGTGGATCTAGGAAAGCAGAATGAGAACATGCAGCTTGTGAGGTAAGAAGTCTTTAGCTTCCTGAATGGCACCTGGAATATAGCAGATGCTCAATAAATATTTGTTGCATGAATGTGGGATGAAGAGAACAACCAAGAAGACTGCCTTGAAGCCAAGTAAAGAATTTAAAAGAGTAAGGAGTGATTAGCTGTGTTAAATGCTGCAGATTGGTCAAGTAAGGTGAGAGTGAGAATGAGAAATGTGCTTTTGGATTGAGCAGCGTGGAGGTCCTTGGTGCCCCAACTACAGCAGTTTTCATGAAGTTGTGGGGAGGAAAGCCTGATTAGAGTGGGTTCAGGAGAAAATAGGGGGAGAGAAATTAGGGACTGGGTGTAAACACTCTTGAGTTTTGCCGAAAGGAGAAGGAAACACAAATCATCACAGATGCTTCTTTGGATGGATAAGACATAGTTGCTGGTTTCGTAAATGGAAAATGAGGATTAATGTAGACATAACTGAAGTAGTCTGAAGTGTTAATCTGATTTGGGTAAATGAAGAGGCGAGTGTTAATTTATGCTGAATTTTCTATATGTCTAAACTGGGGAATTATCAACACAAACATCAAATACAAAAGAAAATCAAATAGTGGTTAATGATAGCATCAAAGTGTTAATAAAGGCAGAGAACTGTAGTTAAAACCATGACTTCATGCTTTAGAGAGATGAAGATAAAATAAGAATGACTTCATTTGTTAGTAGAAGTTTATAAAACTGATAAAGTGTTAAAAATCTGTAATTCTAAAGTACAGTTGAATGTCAGATGTGCTTTGAGACATTTATGTAATTCTTCATTTCTGTTTTGATAAAAGGAAAGCATTTCTGTCATAATAAAAATATTAAGAATTATGGTTAATCATCACAGAATGCTTGAGATATATGAGACAGTATTTTTGGCTTCTCACATACATGACCTCTTTTACTTCTTTTTTTTTTTTTTTTTTTTTTTTTTTTTTTTCGAGACAGTCTCACTCTGTCGCCCAGGCTGGAGTGCAGTGGAGCGATCTCGGCTCACTGCAAGCTCCGCCTCCCGGGTTCATGCCATTCGCCTGCCTCAGCCTCTCAAGTAGCTGGGACTACAGACGCCCGCCACCACGCCCGGCTAATTTTTTTTTTTTGTATTTTTAGTAGAGACGGGGTTTCACTGTGTTAGCCAGGATAGTCTCCATCTCCTGACCTCGTGATCCGCCCGCCTCGGCCTCCCAAAGTGCTGGGATTACAGGCGTGAGCCACCACGCCCGGCCTGTTTTACTTCTTATAATAGCCTATGAATGATCATAGAATATAATGCACAGAAAGGATAGATAAGTTGTTCAAAACCACAGCAAGAAAGTCAGGATACAAACTCAAGTGGTCTGCTCCAGAGCCCATTGCTATAATCACTTCACTCTACATCCTCCTAACATGTACACGGGTTTTCAATTTGTATTACTTTTATTTTGTACATTTGGCAGAAATTTGCCGTGTATTGGTATTGAATTGTTGTGTGGTGACTACTTTTTCTAGATATTGGTATATATCACGTTTACATTTCAGGCATTGGTTTCTTTACGGACTAGCTCTGGGGAAAGAGAAATTAAATATGATATATTTCTTCAGGGATTTCTGTTAGATTAGTTAAGCAAATCTATACAGATGGTCCCCGATTTACTATGGTTTCACTTAATGAATTTTTGAGTTTATGATGGTTTTATTGAGATTATTAAATGTATTTTCCACTTATAATGGGTTTAAAAATTTTTTTTATTTTTAGTTCAAGGGTACCTATGCAAGTTTGTTCTATAGGTAAACTCGTGTCACAGGGGTTTGTTGTACAGATTATTTTGTCACCCAAGTATTAAGCCTGGTACCCAATAGTTATTTTCCTGATCCTCTCTCTCCTCCTACCCTCTACCCTCAGGCAGTCTCAGTGTCTGTTTTCTTCTGTATGTTTCCATATGTTCTCATATGATGGGTTTATTGGAACATAACCCAATTGTAAGTCGAGGAGCATGTGTACTTTGAAAAATGTTTGTTTAAAAGACATGGCAATTACATTTTAAAAATATATTTTAGGGGTGGTCATGATTTTGAATCAAATTGGGAAGTTTTACTTTCATGTGTGCATATATAATGTATATAGAAGTGTAGTTTGGTAACTCAGCCTTGCCTTCTTTACCAGTTTTGATGCTATTCCCTCATGACTGTTGGTGAGAATTCGAGACAGGGAAGAACAAACCGCCCAAGACTAGTAACATACTATTTTTCTCCCTCACTCATTGAAAGGCATATTAAACCTCCTTAGGCCTTTTTTTTTTTTCCAGCGAGCATTCCTAGAAATTTTTTTGCAGTCAATTACATGTTCCCATGGGAACAATGCGCTAATTTGTGGGAGATTGGAGCCTGACCAATGACTTCTACCTAATAATTTACTCATTTCTTTGTTGTTTACTCTGTTTCTGGAACTTTGCTAGCCACTGGGCTGCAGAGGCAAATAGGACTTTGTCTCTCCCTTTCCTTAGGACTTAAAGTTTGGAAGAGAAAGATATATTTAAAATTTAAAACTTTACTACTTTGGCTGAGGTATTGTCTTGGAAGATGTCTTACTGAGGTATTGTTTTGGGAAAATGCACATTCCTGGCCCAAATCTAGAAAAACCTATTCATTAGGTTTATTTTAGGGCCTAGGAATCTTACTTTTAACAAGTTCCCTGGGTGGTGTTGATGGACATGATCCAAGGGTTATACTGAGAAATACTGTGTTCTTTGGAGCATAGGGATTTAGGAAGACTTTGTAGAGGAGATAATTCTGAAAGTGATGTATTGCTTTCTCATTTCTTGGAGTGGTAAGTGTGCCTGAGAGAGGGAGACGGGGAGAGAAGGGTGGGTAGGTTAGATATTCTGGGGGTAATGGAAAACTTGCGGTTGAGGCAGAGCACTTTGTAATAAAAAATTTTAGATATGACTAGTGGTATTTTACAACAGGGAAGAGAAAATACACATCTCTGTAGTTTAAAGATAAGCAAGTTCTGCTCTGAGTCTCAAATAGTCAACATAAGCATACCATATATTTTGGTTACTAAGGATCCCCAATATAGGGCACCTAAAGGACAATTTGTATCATAAATCTCTCCTCAAATTAATAATAGCTAATTTTGCCTAAAAACTAATATTGCAGGGACATTAAATGTCTGCTTCGAATAGCCTATTTTTAAAAAGAGGATTTTAAAGAAAATGTAAATTGCTGATTTCTTTCTATTTTAATAATTTCCCCTGGTACAAATAAAGCTTTCAGAATCCCTCAGTTGATGTGAATATAGAAAGTACAGGGCACCAAAGAACTAAAGGACAGGTAAAAGACAGTGAGATATGAGACTTCAATCTTAATTTATGCAGCATGAATTGGATACATTGGTGGGAAATAATCAAGTAAAATGAAGGGATTACTTATATGTTAGCTTAGTTGGTTAGTATATTGTATCTGTGAATCATAATACTATTGCTTGGACTTTTTTCCTGATGGATTTAGTAATTATTATTGTATATACAAGTGGCTTTTATAGAATGCTTTTTGTTATGTAAGTTTCTTTACTTTTGGCTGTTTTCAAATCATAGATGGGTTGGACTTCTACCATTAGTTGTGAAGTTGCCGTATAATACTCTTTTATTTTAAAATACCAAAAGTACACCCTTCTCTGATTTAATAATAGTACTATATGTATTAAATGATGATTGCTTTTAGAATATATCTTCCATATTTTGAAGCAGGAAAATTTCTATTTTTAAAGTGGTCATTTCTGTTTCAGTAGGTGTATTCTATCCTTTTATAATTCTTCAGCATGATTAAAATTTTCCTCATCTTATTATTTTTTTAAGGGTCTGAAAAGCCCTCAAGAAAGCCTCAGTGATCTTGGTGCCATAGAGAGTCTCCGGGTCCCTGGAAAGGTATTGAGCTACACGTGTGAGCGTGACTTTTTACTTCCTTAAGAAAATATGATTGCCTCTGGATAGTAATTGATTCACAGAAGCTTTTCTTTCCCACAGGCAGATGGTTGTTAAGATAAGCTAGGTAAATTTTTATTGTATAGTAGGTGTAGGGCTTGTTTCATTACACGTTGGGATGCAGTATGTATGATGCATTATAGCAAAGCAAAAAATGCAAACTTGATAAATTTGGAATTTATTATATTAAATTCTTAGCCTGAAAGCAGTTGTATATATGTGTATGCACACACACACACACACACACACACACACACACTCTCTCTCTCTCTCTCTCTCATTGATTTATCTGCTGTAATTTGTAGAAATAAAGTGAAATAGTTGACTACTGACTTTTTATACTCCTAACATTCTGTGCCAAAAATCATGATTATATTTTTGTTGTGGAGCAGAGGTTTTTGAAAAAGCATCTAAACCATAGTATTTATACTGAATTGTATAACTTATCTCCTAGATTGTAGGTATTTTAGATTTTAATCCTCTGATATTCACGTGAATTTCTCAGTTTACAAATTTTATATAGGTTATTTGAAAGCTAGCTAGATTCCCCTTGGAATTATTAAGTATTGTTAAATCCCTGCTGTTTTTCTGGAGTGTTGCTGCTTGGAGCTGCCCATGTGAATAGCTGCTCCATCACAGATTAAGCTGGCACTTCTGAATGTCTGTTTTTGTATTTTTTAATTTGAGAGTGATACGTGAAAATACTGTTTGTTTTCTGCATCAGGCATTTGAATACACAGGGTGTGCTTCTCTTGATCAGCAGTTTAAGGCCTCTCCTTACACCTCGGTGTCAGCTCCTTAGGAGGATGATTTCTCATCTCTTTCAGGTGCCTTACCTGCTAAAGTGAATTTTGTATTTACTGCATTGTTTTTATTTTGGGTTAGGCTGAAACATATTCTCCAAATGCAATAAAATTATAACCAACCCTTTTGCATGAAATGGTTCAGACAAAAACTTAAGAAAAGCATTCCGTATAGTTTTATGTAATGTTATTAAAAATTAATGACTATGAAAAGGTTGGGAAACAAGAGATAGCCATAAATCCTAATTAATTGACAATAATTCTCTTTATTTCTTTGAGTTAAGAAAAAGATTATCATGCATTATGAACATACCTTGAATTAGATTGTATTACATATTGCAGAATCAATGTCAAATTGATGAGTGAGCCTCTTTAAAAAAATACATTACAGTCTTAACAAGAACTTTCTGTTGTGTTTCCACCATGAGCCATGATGTTTTCCCAGTACTGGTTGGTAGTGAATATGGTGATCTCATTACAAAGTCTTCTTATTAAATGTACACCCCTAGCTCCATCAGTGACCAGTGCTGTCTGTACTTTTAGGATAACTGGCCTTGGGTGGAGTGGCCAGTCTGGGATCACAAGGTCAGCAAATATAAATGGTTCAGGTGAAGAGTAAGCCTAAAGCACTGGTCTCTTTAGCACATACTAAGAAGCTAAGTTAGTTAAATAATAAAACAGTTAATAGTAAAAAATGTATTGATGCTATAAGCTTACATTTAACCTTACACTAAGAAATCCCTACAAGCTTCATCTGCCTGTTTGTTTTTTCTGTGTTCTCCTATAGCATAACAAATGATGGAGGGTGAGCAGAGCTTCTGCCTTCTTTCTGGGTGGTTCTGAGAACATGAGAGTTGCTGGGTCCAGAGAGTGGCAAAGCTCCAGTCAGTAAACTGAGTCTTTGGATGAGGTTTGAAGTCAGTACTGAGATCAGGAGTTAAGAAGACTCATATTCAGAAATTCCCTACACAGCATAGCTTGATGTAGCTTTAATGTTCAGTATTTTTTCACAATTTAGATAAGACTTTATACTTAGATCATAACACATATATTTTAATGATTTATTTTTGTATAATTGCTTTGAAATTAATGTTGTTGCTAGTTCTTGATGACCTGAAATTTGATGTAATTGAAGAAGATCTTTAAGATCTTTTAAAATTAAGATTAAAAGCATTTTAACAAAATGGAAAATGTTAATTCAAATGATTATTTTGAAATAACTTTTGCTTTAAATATAAAATTAATGTATGCTCTAAACAGAAAACATGGTAAACGGAAAAAGGTATCTTAAAAAAAAAATCACAAAAATCACCAACACTGTCAAGGTTAACATTGCCTACTGGTCTTTTCCCTATGCATATTCCACAAATTTATTGAGTTTCTATGTGCTAGAGATACTTTCTAGGGATTGGCAGTATAGCAGTGAAAAGACAAAAGTTCTCTCCAAAAGTCAAAACTTCCCTGCTGTCAGACAGCGAGCTTACATTCAAGCAGGGGTAAGGCGATTACAGATTATAATACTGTGAAGGAAACAGGGCGATGAGATAAACTCCTTGAAATTGGCAGTTATTTTACAGGAAGTAGTCAGTATAGCTTTTTATAATGGTATTATAAGTTATACAACCTTTTAAAAATGGTATCATACTCTAGAAATTATTTGGAAGCTTGGGTTTTTAACTTGGTGATATATATATATATATAACATAGAAAATTCTCACAGTATATTCTAGGTTTAAAAAGCAAGGTACCCATTAGTTTTGCTTAGGGGAGTACTCTTTGAACTTAACAATTTGTGCTATTTAAGTAGTCACTGTTAATTCTTATATGGAAAACTTATAAACATTAACTTCATTTAATAGCTCTGCCTCACTTATAACTGTAGGTACAACTTTTAAAAAACATATGCCTGGTCTTCAGGAATCGGCTCCTTTCTTTTCATAGTATCTTTCTAAGTTAGGACAGGGAATTGAGAGATTTCAGTGGCATTTTCAAGAAAGAAATAGGTTAGTTTGGGTTCTGTTACATGAAAAGGTTCCAGTATAAAGGATAAGTAGGAGAAAAATGTTAGGATAAATGATGGCTGTTTAAGTTTAAAATGGTCAAATATTGGCAAATTGTATGTGCTTCAACTTGCTAGAAAAAGGAGGGTAGTGAAGGAGAACTGAAGGGCACTAGGTGTGCTTGATAAGCCAGATGGTATTATTTATTTATTTATTTTAGAACTATATAAATTCAAAGTGGGAAGAAACTGTATAAACCATCTGGTACAATTTCTGCATTTTATAGACAATCTGATCCTGTGCCCGATTTTAAGAGCAGATGCAAGTCAAATGGTAATCTATATACTGGAAATTTGGAATTTGGGTGGATAAAATAGTATAGAAAAGTAGAAAACATTTAAGGTTCTTTTCAGAACTTGCTAGAGGAAAGGAAACTTTTAGACAGATTTCAGGAATTTTAGCTTAAATAGCTCAGAGCCAAGATCAGTGGTGCCCAAACTTTGCTGTACATTTAGAATCAACAGTCCCCAGGCCATGGCCAATTCCAATTAAATCACCGTTTTTGGGTGGAGGCAAGTGTCAGTAATATTTAGAGATTCCCTGGTAATTCCAGTGTAGAGCCAGGTTTGGGAACCAATGGCCAAGATGAGAATATTATCTCAAGAATGGAGCAACAGGAAATAGAGGAACTGTTCTAAAAAATTGTTTGGAAGTTTTACTGAGAATTTTTGTAGAATAAGATAGAATGACCTAAAATTTCATTCTTCGAAATGGATTCTGTTATGTTTCAAATTAGTGGGATTTTCATGCAGAGTTAAAGATATAAGAAATTAGGTAGTATTTTCTAAGTTTGTTAATCCATTTAAACATGAAAGGTATTTTACTTAATTGGTTACAAGAATTAAGAATACAACTAGTATTTGTTATAATATATGATAGTAGAGCCACAACGTTATTAGTTATAGAACTTATTTGGACTGTGTTTGAGAGTATTTGTTGAACCCTGATTAAAAAGTAAAAATACCAGTATTCAGAACCTTATAAAATCTACATCCAGCCTTTATTAATATACACTTTCCATAGTACTTCCACAGTGGCACAATGTGAACCTGAAAAAGAGTATTGATACTAATATTGTTTTACGAGTTTTTAGTGAAGCATTGCCTCCTCATAGTATTCTTTAATGATAAGGGGGTTTTTTTGGCCTCAATTTAATTAACTCATAAATAGTAATGGGATTCAGCTGTCTTTACTTTTACATGATTGGTTTACCTTTGATTTTTTTTCGTGAAAGAAAAATATAGGATGAGGTGACAAAATAAATGTCTGTTGCAGTCAACATTTGATAATATAATTGTTTAAGGATAAGAAATAATTTTTTTATACTTCATCCATTCAACAAATATTTATTGAGTACCTGCCTACTCTGAAGCATTTCTACTTATATAAATTCTAGGAATTTGAGCAGAATGTTTTCTAGAGTTTCTAGTACTTCTGTGAAATCAGATAAACCGATTTGACTTGACTTCTTAAAATCCATTAAAAGAATCCTAAAACCACCTGCTAACTGCAGAGCTTGGTTTACAGTTTTACCAAAATTTGTGGAGAGTGTGCTTGAATCACAGTCAAGAGACATAGGTTGAAGTATTGACTTAAACATACAGCTTGTTGAAAGGAAGTCATTTTAATGCTTTGTGCCTCAGTTTCTTCATTTGTGAAAAGATGCTATTGAACTAGACTTTTTTGGAATCCTTTTTGCTCGAATGTTTTATACTTTCTATATTGTAATTTTTGTAGGAGAAATATGACACAAGAAATATACATTCTAAATAATTTTTTGAGCAGTTTTTGTTAGAAGATTTGCATATTGGTGTCTGTATTAGAGAGGATTAGTATTGAGGTTTATGACTAGGTGAATTTATTTAGTGATCATGATAAAGACTTTCAATTTAGGATTATGTATCATTTAGGACAGGTGTCTTCTGCAGGTGGTACTAAGGGAGACTCTAACTATGGATCTGCAAAATCATTTAAGAGTTTTTCTTAGGTGCTCATGGCTAACAGTATTTAGTTGTGTTCTTTTTAACCATTAATGAAATTATGCTTCTCATAGCTTCAGATGCTTTGAGATTCTTAACCCTTCTTTCATAGCAAATCATATAAGTTCATTCATACAGTCCATTTGGCAAACACTTATGGAACCAGGCAGTTACTAATCATTGAAGATGCAGAGAGGTACAAGACTGTTCCTAACTCAACCTGAGTGGGGGAGACAAGCAAAAATAGATAATTGCAGAGGAGTAGAGGCACAACAGAGTTCAGCTAGGAGAGGATGTGGAGTAGGTAGAAATGTATTCAGGATCTTTTAGAGTTGGCGATTAATTTTTTTAAGAAAGATTACAGTTTTATGGGGTGAGTTGTTGAGTAGAGGTTGGGGACAAGGATACTGATTAAGAAGAAAACAGGAACATAAGGTATAGGAAATGGAGAAGGGTTGCATTGGAAGGACATTTAAAAAGCAGAATTTAAGATTGATGATTTTATTGGATTTGGAAGGTGGAAGAACCTGTGAAAGGCACTGGGATTGAAGGTGCTGTGATGTTGTCTTTTCTCAGAATAGACAGTATTGTTTTCTTTTAGAGAAAGTGTCTGATGAGATGTTCGAAAACAAAAGAAAAACAAAATTAAGATGTACACACTCGATTTTTCTCTGTATATCTTGATTTATGATGTGTCTTTTCTTCAGTGTTAGCCCCAGAAAGGACAGGCATGTGACACATATTAAAATACATCATCTTAATCACTTGATTGTGTTATAAAGCTGGATTAAAATGTGATCCAATAACCTTTTATTAAAATGTTCTATAAATCATTTTGCCCAAAACCTCTTTTTAAATTGTAACTTCAACAGTATTCCACTAGATGGCACTAAAAGCCTGAAGAAAAACAGGGTAGGCTTTAAAAGATAAGTTTATTTAAAATGCACACAGAAACTGATGAACCGGCTATCTTTGACGGATTATTATTGTTGTTCTAGTGGGATTTTAGGAGAACGTGCCATTTCCTCATGTAATCAGACATCTGGCCATTCATTATAAACTTACGTGGCATGTGGTTTTAGGGTATCTGTGATCTTGAAATAAGTTTTGAATCCTGTTTCATTTGGAAAGAGATAAAATCTATTTCTGTTCAGTGATTAATGACTTTTGTAATACTGACTGAATATTGAAAACTTCATGTTTTGTTCTTACTTCTAGCTCTGTTTAGATTTTGGTCACTAAACGCTTCTTTTTTTTTTTGCTTTCAGTTAGAGCCCTAACGTGATGTTAACTTTGGTAAGATTATAGCTTCCGTTTTCCCTATAACAGAATAGATTTTTTATGTTGACGAATGAAGAAATGCAAACAGTAAAAAAAAGTCTTTGATCAAAGATTTGCTGTGGCAAACCGCAAATCATGCTTGTAAAATTTCTCCACTTTCCTTCTCAACACACACACACACATACACTGCATTCTGCCATTGAGTTATATAATCAGCTATATAAGCACTATATTCTGCCACTGAGTTATATAATCAGGTGTATAATGTGGACTGGTCTAATGAGCTAAGTACAGAAAGAGGAGTTGGTGTGCATTTCATTTTTTATTCTATATATTTTTTTCAGAGTTTTGAAATCTGACCTGTGAAGTAAAGATTTGCATTCATATTTTTGTTTGAATAAAAACTAGTACTGAAGATTATGAGATTCCAAGCTGTTATGTGGGTTTAGAAATTAGGTTAAATTACTTTTCAAAATTGCAGAAAATATTGAGTTTAATAATGGTAAGGAAAACTGTTAAGCTGTCATAACTTTTTATAAAAGTGAATAGAATTAAGAGCCCTGAATTTGGATTAGTATTTTTAATTAGTGTGGTATTTTAGATAATTTAAAAGTAGTGATTAAATACAAAATTAGTAGTCTCTCTTTTTTTCCTCCTAAACTTGAATATATTCCCTTGAGTGATGAACTCTTAAGTGGAAAATTTTTTGGTAAAGTTATAGCCTAGTTCCTTAGAAACCACAAACATACTGGGAATGTATCATAATACCTTACATTTGAGGGCTCAAATTGTTTTACATAGCTGAATCCCCAATTCCCATAATACCTTTTTTGTTGTATTGAGAGGAAAAGTAGCTTTGCTAAATCAAAGATGTTGACTTAAATCTCTAATATGATTGTTTTTCTTCACTTTTCATAAAGTTATATTTCTGATGTACATTTATGTACATGTTCATGTAGCTTTATCTCAGACATGATCAAAATAGAAAAATAGACTAGGTGGTATTATATGCAACCTTATTGCATGTTGTGACTGCTGGAAAAACACAGCCTCTAAAACGTTGAATTCTGCTTGGTTTATTACATTAAGAAAATATTGAATATTTTTGCCTGTTTTTGATATAGCCTAACCTGAGGCAGTGATATGTGTTAAGATGTTTTACTTTTAGTGAAGAAAATATGGTTCTAATATACAAAAAATATGTTGAATTTAAACAAATCTCAGTTGTTGCATTTGTCTTTTGGCATACATGCAGACTCTCCCTTGTGACATTTTTCTATCCTGCGGAAGCCACCCTTTATTGCTTTAACCTGTTGTGCACTTTCTCGATTCAATATTTTTACTTTTGCTTTGCTTTATATTTGTAACCCTATTCTCCCAATTTCTAAATCTGAAATTCTACCTATTCTCTCATATTTTCCAAATGCCACCACTTCCATCAGATGTGAACCCACCGTCTGATGCCTTCATTCTGTTTGCATCACCCTCATGTTCTGCTGTGCATTGTCATTGCTTACTTATTCATCTGACCCCTCCTATTATTTTAACAACTGTTTGAGGGAAGAGCTATATTTTACTCATTTTCGTTCCTGTATGACCTAGTATGGGAAATTTTTACATAATGGGAATTTAAAAAATTGTTAAATGAAATTTGTTTTTTAGGGGAAGATAAGGTTATAGAGCTTTGAAAGTAGGCAGGTTAGTTTCTAATGATAGTATGGGAGAGAGATTTGATTTGTTCATTTTTTGCCTTTTATGCTTTTGTTTTCTCCTCTTTGTTATTCCAATTCATTACTTTAATTGTAGTTTTTTTCTCCAGCTTTAATTCTGGGGTAATGCTGATAATACTTTTTGCTTAGTTGATTACCATTGACAGCAAGTTGTGTGGCAGCACATTTGGTAGCCTGTAGTTGACAAATTATTTTTGGACTTTCAAGTTTTAGAGAGCATTTATATCACTATTAATGATACTATGTATTTATTAATTATTATGTGACATAAAATTTATTATAAAAATATTTTAAACATTTTTAAGACTGAAATATTTTATCCTAGACTTAGTTTGAATATCTAATATTATTATAATTTTTTTCTTAAATCATATGTTTAAGTATGGTGTAAGAAGTTCCATTTGGTATTCATTTCCCCCAATTTTGCCTTGTAATTTTTTTATAGGAAACTTTTTGTTCATTTTGTTTATGTAAAATTTGGGCTCACACCTATGTATTGGTTCTATTTTAGGTGAAGAATTATGTATTTTTGTACATCTCCCACCCTAGGGAATCAGTTTCTATTAAATTATGTAGTAATTGTGTTAAGAATAGGCAATCTGGTTGCTTCTGTTTATTTTTCTAATTTACATGTGTAAAATATTCCTAAATCAGTTCACATCGTTATCTCTAATTAAAAGAAAGAAATGTTTTACTAAGAGTTGGTGGAAAATTTTGACTATTGAAACAAGAGCATATTGTCTTTTCCTTTCCTTTTGTCTTATATTCATTTTTTGCAATTAACTGTAAATTAATTTTAGTTTGATCAGTGATTATCTATGGTGTGCCTTGGCACTGTGGAGCAGCGTGATGGAGAATGAAGAGAAATCTCAGTTCTCAAGAAGTGTACAGTCTGATTGAGCAGGCAGCCCTAACAGCGATGAAACATTTGGACAATGATTAGGTAGAAGCAGAGCTTTACAGACTGCTAGTTCAGTGGGACTAAAAAGAACACGGTGATCGGGATTCTAATCAGAAGGGGGTTTGAATAAGTTCCAGTTCAGATGTATATTTTCACATAGAAGTTATGAAATTGTTTTAAAGGAGAGGATATTTTATAGGGAAATAATATTACATAGGGGCATTTGTTTTAGATTTAATTCTATTTTGTATGCTACATTTCTTTTTCTGATTTTCTAGGTTTTATTCCTTTCCTTAGTCCAGGTTTCTTACACTTCAGAGTATCAGGTGTTCCATGTCAGTTCTTTGAAATTATATGGGGTTGTATGCTCTCTGTGATACTAATTGCTTAGTTCTTTAGGAAAGAATAGCATTTGACATACATATACAGATTGTACTCCTTTTACAGATTCATCATGTTTTTGAAATGTACACTTGTGAGATACTTATAAATTATGTTTTTTCTTTGGCATTCTTAATAACTTCGGATATTTGTTTCACTGTCATTTTGAGAGAGACACAGAGAGAGAGAGAGAGAAAGAGAGAGAGAGAATGCATGTTTGCCCTTTACAGGTGAAAAAAAAACTAGGCATGAAGAGACTAAGTTGCCGAGGGTTAATGATGGAATTGCAGCTAAAAATCCAAGTATCTTTACCTTCTTATCAATCAATTAGGTACTATATGGAGAACCTCAGCATGGTGTTATATGTCATTGACATTTATGCTTTTAAGATGAAAGTACTCAATTGTTGCAGTCTATTTGAATTTCTGGCTTGGCTCTATTTCTGATTTAAAAAAATCGTAGCAGTTTTTGTAATCTTCAAATATTTTGTCTTGAATGGTATCAACTGCATTTATTTGCTCATGTTGCTGCAGACTGCAGAATTCCTAGGGAGGCAGTGTTGCCATGTCCTCACTTGGGCCTCATTTCCTCCCCTCCCTCAGCTTACAGTATATGAAGCTGATATTTCAAATGCCTGTGGACTTTTAGGGAAAGAGATTTCCAGGAAGTGCAGACCTCCTCTTCCATTTCATTTCTGACTTTCATTTCATATTTCAATTGGATGCATGGAGGCTGCCTGTTGATAGGCTAGTTGGTAACCTTCCCTTCCACACGTGTGAGTTTTAACCAAGTCTGTGCGGCAGCACCACTGTCCAGGGTGCTAAATGGATTCCTGTGTTGTAGATAAACCCCTTCAGGAATGTAGTTCCCACTGTTGGGACCCTGGATTTCTTACTGCAATCATAGTAACTGATTGCACGCTGACTCAGTGATAGCTATGTCATTGACCTTTTTTTCTCGGTGTATTTTATGAGTTAGCACAGAAGAGGGATTTTCTTTTCCAAGCATATTTGATTATTCAGGTTTGATATTTATGAGTTTGCCTTCTCTTTTAAGTTTATTGGAACTTTACATTTAAACAGTCAACATTTTCTTGAGTTTTAGATTTGTTCTATTTTTTTGGCTTGAAATTACTAATAGGGAATAATTTTATAGTTAGTTTTACAAATACAAAATATAAGTTAAACTCTAAAAGATATCTGAGCAAGGCTCTTCTTACAAATAAAAAATATGCCCTGCAATAAAATAATCTAGAATGTCTCTATTTGAAAAATATACTGTTCTTTGATCTTTCACAAACCTGACAAAAACAAGCAATGGGGAAAGGAGTCCCTATTTAATAAATGGTGCTGGGAAAATTGGCTAGCCATATGCAGAAAGCTGGATCCCTTCTTTACACCTTATACAAAAGTTAACCCAAGATGGATTAAAGACTTAAATGTAAGACCTAAAACTATAAAAACCCTAGAAGAAAACCTAGGCAATACCATTCAGGACATAGGCATGGGCAAAGACTTCATGACTAAGATGCCAAAAGCAATGGCAACAAAAACCAAAATAGACAAATGGGATCTGATTAAACTAAAGAGCTTCTGCACAGCAAAAGAAATTACCATCAGAGTGAAAAGGCAACCTACAGAATGGGAGAAAATGTTTGCAATCTATCCATCTGACAAAGAGCTAATATCCAGAATCTACAAAGAAATTAAACAAATTTACAAGAAAAAAACAACCCCATCAAAAAGTGGGTGAGGGATATAAACAGACACTTCTCAAAAGAAGCCAACAAACATATGAAAAAAAGCTCATCATCCCTGGTCATTAGGGAAATCCAAATCAAAACCACAATGAGATACCATTTCACGCCAGTTAGAATGGCGATCATTAAAAAGTCAGGAAACAACAGATGCTGGAGAGGATGTGGAGAAATAAGAATGCTTTTACACTGTTGCTGGGAGTGTAAATTAGTTCAACCATTGTGGAAGACAGTGTGGCAATTCCTCAAGGATCTAGAACTAGAAATACCATTTGACCGAGCAGTCTCATTATTGGGTATATACCCAAAGGATTATAGATCATTCTATACAGATACATGCACACGCATGTTTATTGCGGCACTATTCACAATAGCAGAGACTTGGAAGCAACCCAAATGCCCATCAAGGATAGACTGTATAAAGAAAATGTGGCACATATATACCTTGTAATATATGCAGCCATAAAAAAGGATGAGTTCATGTCCTTTGCAAGTACATGGATGAAGCTGGAAAGCGTCATTCACAGCAAACTAACACAAGAATAGAAAACCAAACACTGCATGTTCTCACTTATAAGTGGGAGTTGAACAATGAGAACACATAGAGGGGAACGTCACACACTGGGGCTTATTGGGGGGTGGGGGGCTAGGGGAGGGATAGCATTAGGAGAAATACCTAATGTAGATGATGAGTTGATGGGTGCAGCAAACCACGATGGCATGTGTATACCTATGTAACAAACCTGCACATTCTGCACATGTACCCCAGAACTCAAAGTATCATAAAAAGTGAAAAAAGAAAAATATACTGTTCTTTAACTGACCAGATAATTTTTGTACATTTCCTTAGTATTTTTATTGTGTTATTTTAATTACTGAAAATGATTTAAAACAATAGTTCCTTTTTGTGTATATAAATGTATTTGAGGTTAATTTGAATTAAAAATCAAATGGCTAACTTGTGATATGTCTATAATGTCTTGATTAACTAGTGTGGCAGGGGAGTGGGTATCTGAATTGTAAAAATTTACTAGTTAACTGAAGCTTTATCTGATTATGCAGTGAAATTGCATAGGATAGGGATGCTGACATTGGGTTTAGGGATTTGTCTGTCATGCTGTTCTTCAAATCCACAGAACCTCCATTCTGTATCATTAGAAAGAAAGCATTTTATCATATAGAGAAGTTTAGCTTCATAATCAGATCATTAATTGTAACAGCAATCCACTTTGAAGGAAGCCTCATAGTATTACAGAACTAAATTTGTGAACCTTTTCTGGAGCCACTGTTTCTTAGCTGAGTACTGAGATTTTTTTAGCAGGGTTGATGTCTTCTATTCAGGACTCCAAAGTTGATTGTGACCCAGAAGTTATTGAGGTGTTCTTCCCTTATTATCTGTGGTGAGACAGATTTTAGAATATTATTAAATAGTAAAATTTATATATCTGTGATATGTATGTATGATATGTTTAGGTAGTCACTTTTTTTTCTTTTGTTGGACATTAAAATTTTTATCAACCTTGTTGATGTGCAAGGAATTGAGAATAAAATCTAAATATTCAAACTGGCTAGTTTTCTTCTGTAGTTGTTAGTGTTAATGGTCGGCTAGTTCCTAATTTCCTGTGAACTTTTCTGATTTCTGTTGGTTTGTATCCTTGGTCAGAATCGTTCCAGGTAGATGTGACTGTTAAGACAAATGATCATTTATTTCCATGCAGATATAATTTTAACAGCTACAATTACTATAATTGTGATTTTTTTTTCTTAAAGGAAGAATTCAGGGAACTTCGAGAACAGCCAAGTGACCCTCAAGCTGAACAAGAGCTTATTAATAGTATTGAACAAGTATATTTTTCTGTGGATTCATTTGATATTGTTAAATATGAGCTGGAGGTAAACAGAATTTCATTAAAACATAACTAAGGCCTGTTTTGTTCAGTGATTGGATTTATGAGATTTGAATACTTTTTTGAGGCATTTATGTATTTTTGGTACCAGAATAGGTCTGTGATTACCACATTGTGATTAAATCAACTGTCAGCATTGTTTGGCGATGAAATTATTATTTTTTGAATGTAACTTTAAATACAACCGTTCAGGGAAACATTTCTGTATTTTTGGTTTTCAATTGTTAGTATTTAATGTGTTAGTATGCTGTTTCTATCCTATTTTATAGTATCTATGTTTAGAGAAGCTCAGACTTTTAATTACAAAATATGTATTTACATAATTGTTTAGTGATGATAAAAATTCTTATGCCATAGTGTTTATAATACTGACATTTTAAATTTATAAGAACTTTAACGAAAGTCAGAATAGTGAAATTTAGTCTTAGATACAACCAAATGCTGTATGCATATATACTTTATATGCATTATTCACAGTCAGTCCCCAGCTCAGTTTGAAGTTTCATCAGTCAGTTGACTGAGATTGTTTCCCTGTATATGGTATGCATTTTTTGGTTAGTTTCCCATACTGTCCTCTGAAAGCTGATGTAATCCAGAATGTAGTCCAACAACTGTCACACAGTAGTACTTATGGTTTGTAATATTCCAGAGGAGAAATCTGTTTTGAGTTCTATCATAAACAAATAGAGATATATCTGTGGATGGTAGAGTTGGGGTTAGGTTAGTTACTGTCTCACATTCTCCTGTCACAGGCCGTGGCAGCAGTGTCTGTCGGCCTAGGGTCCAGAGTCCCCAGTGGTAGTGGGGTTTCTCAGAAGGCAGAGCAGCAGCAGTGGGGGTAACAAGGCTGAATGAGGGGTGGAACCAGAGGGCTGTGTACTAAAGATGTATAGGCTTTTGTGGTTGGAACCTAGGAGGGAGGTTGGGAGGACAGGTGGCATGGAGGGCAGTGGGATGTGACACTGTTTTGTATGCACAGTTTGTAGTTCACTAGTCAGAAGGGTCCAGGTAAATGAAACCAAATTAAACAATTTATTTTTTCCTCTTCTTTCATGAATTTTTTTCTGTAGAAGCTTCCACCTGTTCTCAATTTGCAAGAATTAGAGGCGTATAGAGACAAATTGAAACAACAGCAAGCTGCAGTAAGTAAAAAAAAAACACATTTCTTTCTGGCAAAACTCTAGATGAAACACAACAGAGAGGTATAATGTTTGCAGATTTATGGTTTTAACTAACAATTAACATAGAAACAAATCTTGTTATTTAACATGACTGATTCAAATGATGCATTTACATTAAAAATTTAATGCGTATGGTTTTCCTTATGTTACCTTGGTAGATTTACTTCTAGAACTTGGAATTTTCTCTCTGGAATCCTAAATGTGATCAAAGAACTTTGAACTTTGTTTTAGATTAGTAAGTACCTTTAGGCTCCTTGTCATAGACGTATGATTTCCCTACCCATAGTTTTGTAACTGAGTATTCCTTTTTGTTTTTTGAGACAGGGTCTTGCTCTGTTGCCCAGGCTAGAGTGCGATTGCACGATCATGGCTCACTGCAGCCTCTCCCTCCTGGACTCAAATAATCCTCTCACCTCAGCCTCCTGAGTAGTTGGGATTACAGGCATGTGCCACTAGTCTGGCTATTTTTTTAACGTTTTGTAGAGATGACATCTCACTGTTGCCCAGGCTGGTCTTGAACTCTGGGGCCCAAGCGATTCTCCTGTCTCAGCCTCCCAAAGCACTGGAATTAGAGCCGCAAGCCACTTTGCCTGGCCCTGTAATGGAGTATTCTCTCAGAATTAATGTCCCCCTGAGATTCAGAAAGTCTGAATTGTAGTCACTAATTATGATGTTGAGTAAATCATTTAACCTCAGTGACTCCCTTTTGTTTATCAGTAAAGTGATAGGCTTGCATTTTCTTTAATGCGGTAAAATTCTCTGATTGTATAATTTCTTTATGTTAGGCTAAACCCACTTTATGAAATTCAAACTCTACTGTAGGGATTAATTAATGGTAGCATGTGTATTAATTTTTTTCAACAAAAGGACCAGTAGTAATAAGTTTATCGGTTTGAATTTAAGATATGATTTTTAATAATGCAACTGTCAAACAAAGGAAGGTATACTTTTCTATTACACTCAGAAGTCTCAGTGGGTGCTAGGGTCTGCTTGGAGGTAGCAGTGGTGGTATAGGGCAGTCTTGGGCAGGAGAAGGGATTTGAGCTCTAGAGCAGTGGTTGCCAATTCTTTTGGCACCAGGGACCAGTTTTGTGGAAGACAATTTTTCTATGGACTGGCAGGGGTGGGGTAGGGATGGTTTCAGAATGATTCAAGTGCATTTCATTTATTGTGTATTTTATTTCTATTATGGTTACATCATAATATATAATGAAATAATTATACAACTCAGCATAATGTAGAATCAGTGGAATCCCTGAGCTTGTTTTCCTGCAGTTAGACGGTCCCATCTGATGGGAGACAGTGACAGATCATCAGGCATTAGAGTCTCATAAGGAGCACACAACCTAGATTCCTTGCATGTGCAGTTCACAGTAGGGATGGAGTTAGAGCTCTTATGAGAATCTAATGCCACCGCTGATCTGATGAGAGGTGGAGCTCAGGTTGTAATGCAAGTGATGGGGAGCGGCTGTAAATACAGATGAAGCTTCGCTTGCTCACCTGCCACTCACTTCCTGCTGTGTAGCCTGGTTCCCCACAGGCCACGGACCAGTACTCTCTATTAGTAGACAATCCTGTGGAACCTTTGGAATTCTTAAAATGATATTTAGGATTAACATTGATATTTCTTCATTAATTAAAGTCTAAAAGCCATTTAAAATTTGATTTTCTTAACCTTAATGGAATCCCTCTTTCTAGACAAAAACAATGAGTGTATCTAAAAATTAATGTACGTAATTTCAAAGATGCTTGAAGCAGATTAAGAAAATGTGAAAGGATTAATGCAGTAGTGTAGTGGGTGTTCAATGTTTTGTTCTCAGTTGGCCTGGGGAAGGGGAGCCAGTTGTGTTTCTGGAGCAAACTCCCTAAATACCTTCTGTGTGTCCTGCTTCATGCCTCATGTGCTATCTCTGTTAGTGAAGTTGGCAGAGACCCTGAAATGGTGGAATTAGAGCCTCATGTTCAAAAATCATTATACTTCTAACTTGCATACGTTAATATTATTCATAGAACAATACACACAACCTTAGATATCTTCATAGCGTTCCAAAAAACATGTTTTCAGCTTTTCAGAAGTGGAGGACCAAACTACTTGCTTGTCTTCTTAGGCAACATAAAGGATCTAAAGGATACAAGCAAGTTCTTTTTCCCAGATATTGTCGCCATAAATTCAGTTGATTAAAAATCTGCTTAACAATTTCATCTTTTTCAATCAAATCCTATTCCCTTAAAGATGGTTACACTTTTTGGTTAATGTTACTTAAATCAGATAATGATACACATATTATTAACAATAATAATGACCATTTATTGAGTTTCTGTTAAGGACCAGGACCTGTGCTATGTGCTTTATTATATTACCTCTTTTACTAATTTCATAGCCCAGGGAAATGTGTATGGCCATAGTATGCCAATATCTGCTCCCAAAGTTATTGGGGAGATCTATGGAATATTCTTTTAAAAATTCAAATATAAAATATCATAGAAAGCATGAAGTTTGTTCTTTTATTTCCTTTGTTTGATTACATCTTCTTATAGGTATCTAAAAAAGTGGCAGATTTAATCCTTGAAAAACAGCCTGCTTATGTAAAGGTAGGATAATATTTGTTATTTTTTGTAGTAGAATTTTTAAATGTTTGAGTGATTTACACTTGAAACTGTTAAAATATTGTATTTTTTGTCAATAATTCTGTAGCAGCATATTGACTGTTTTTGGGTGTGTTTGTGTATATGTATGTATGTATATTTTTCTTTTTCTTTTGGGGTAATTTACCAAACTGAAGAAGCGAAGGGTTTTTATATATGATTCTAAAGTGATCTCTTGGGTTTTTCAAACTTTAGAAGAGCCAGTGAAAATTGCTCCCATTAACATTTAAACAAATAGATTCACCAATATTGACCACTCATTGGCAATATAACAATCTGGCTTTAAAATATGATAAAATTGGTACTGTCTAACTGAATCTGTGTTTTCATCGGAAAATCAGAGCCTTCAAAATCCATTGAAATGTCTACCAATGTTCAGATGACGACTTTCATTGTCAAAGCATCTTAGTAAACAGAAATCATATTTGTCATATCCTTTAATTACCTTGTGAAGTTCTCTTGGGTAGGAATTTAAACAGATATATTACTGGTATTTGTTTATTCCTGTCTACAAGAAGTTGGGTCTAGATTTCCTTACAAGCAATACTGACTAAATATTTTGTCATCTGTCATTGTGAAAATCAGTTACAAGTAGTCATTTTAAATAATTTTGTGAAAAATATACTAATAGTTTTCAAGTTCAGGTATTTTTGTTGCTACTTTGTTTTTCAAGCAGGTTTTCTTTGCATCTGACTAGAGTTTTTGTTAGAGTACTATATAAATAAGAAAGAAAAATAAAATACCTCCAACAATAACCTGTACCTAATCTTCCCATAGGAACTTGAAAGAGTTACCTCATTGCAGACAGGTCTTCAATTAGCTGCTGTTATCTGTACAAATGGGAGAAGGTATTGCTTTTGATGATATTTTGTTCTTTAAGCTGAACAATATTTCAAGAATAACTATGGAATCTATAATTTATAATTGATTTTTTAAATTATGGATGTGGTTTCTAGAATATCATTCCTTAAGTGAACATATATCATGATCTAAAGACTACACTAAGAGGGTTTGTGGGAAATATCTCTAAGTGTACTTATGGGTTTTAAAAAATTACTATTTTTATATTATTTAGACTAGTGCTTCACAAACTGTTTGTCGTAAAGCACCTACTTTTTTCTTTCTAAAATTTCCAATCTGTTACAGGCTGTGATTTTTTAAAAATGCAGTAAAAACAAATTACTAGGCAAATGAAATAAAGAAGGAAAGACATAATACAGTCTTAATTTTTTTAATTATTAGAGTCACAAAGAATAATTATTCTGTCAGTTTTTGCACTGTGTTTTTAAGCGCTTATTCTCAGTTTCTGTAATTTTTTGTTATAGACCACTAGCAGGTTGTGAATTGGCACCAATCTTCTCGTGGTGTTCTGAGTAATGCTGGTTTAGACTGGCCATTGAGTACATTTGTCAAATAGTAGTTTAAATCCTTGGTTTTAATAGTAATCCATTTCACTGCTTCATTAGTTACCTAATTGTTCTGTGTGGATAGTATTCTTATTATAATAAAAAACTTTTAACTATTTATTGTTCACTTTTGCAGACACTTGAATATTGCAAAGGAAGGTTTTACTCAAGCTAGTTTAGGCCTTCTTGCAAATCAAAGGAAACGTCAGTTGCTGATTGGACTTCTGAAATCTCTGAGAACTATAAAAACATTGGTATATATGGGTCATTTAAAAAAATTAAAACTGAATTTTGTGGTTGAAACAGATTTTACCTTTGATTTTTGTTTTTTCAGCAAAGAACAGATGTACGGTTAAGTGAAATGCTGGAGGTAAGTTAACAAGTTTTGGAAATTTAGGGTCCTACTGATATATAGAAACAGTAAAGCAGACAAAATTCAGAAGTGCATTTTTCTCAAATGGGTTTATGATATAAAGAATATTTTTAGACATGTAAGATTTTTAGACGTCAAAGATTCTTGCTCTGGAGCCTTTTTCTATTGACATGATATTACTTCATTTAGAAAAGCAAATGTATTTGGGAAAACATTTATCTTCTGATAACATTGGAATGTTAACTTGTTTGTATTGCGTCCAAATAGCAATAAAAATTAACATCTTTTTCATCTAACATATAGTAGTAATTTAAGGAATGTGTGATACTTTAGTTTTGTTCAGTATCATGTATTAATTGCTTTTCTGAGTGAGCCATATGTTTTTTCTTTGATGCATTCTTAGCATTTTCTGTCTACTTCTGTCATAAGGTTCACCAAAGCATAATGTAATATGTGTGTCTCCTCATAATACTTGAGCTCCTTGGGGTAGGTACTTTGTCATTATCAGCATCACCAGTGGTTTGAATTGCATCTGTTGAATTTAGAATTGAGCATAGGGAAAAGTTTTTGTGGTTTTCTGTATAATTGTTTTATTACTTCTCAACTATTACTGCTAACTAGGGTTTCAGAAACCCATATGAAAAATTCATTGGGCATTAAATTACTGTTAGGTGATAAAAATACTCTGAGTTTATTAATTAGTGTTTTTTTTCTAAATTTATTTCTTTAGAACTATTTATTGATTTCTTGGTGGTAAATTGTTGACTATCAATTACAAATAGAATGCATACTATTTTGAAACATTTTATGTAGGCAGTACTGAAAGAAGATATGTTAACAGTTAAAGAAAACCTTTCCTGTGAAGCAGCTAATGATTTAATGTAGGATTTATCCATAAGTCATGGAAATGGTCTCAGGGGGCTGTTACTTTGAAGGAATAGAATATTTTAAATATTTCTTCTATGTATATATTTTAGGCCTGGAACTAGTTGCCTCTTATATTTTGTCACTTATCTATCATTGATATTCTAAGAGGAATTAAAGTTTTTTGATTCTGTAACTTTTGGTTAGAATATGAACAGAGATTTTTTTTTATCAGGGGCTTTAAGAAAAAATGTTTCTATTCCAATGACTCCTGTTGTTGTTACCTTAAGGAGGAAGATTATCCAGGAGCTATTCAGTTGTGCCTTGAATGTCAAAAAGCTGCCAGCACTTTTAAACATTACAGTTGTATAAGGTAAGGTCATGTAAATGTTTTAAAGCAGATTCTGTTGTCAGCTTCTTATGTAGCAGCTGTGTAAAAATGTTAATAAACATTGAAAATTAGTATAAAGTGTTGTGTTCTAGTTTAACATTCATATTTATATATGGGCAGTACAATAAAATTATAAATAATAGGCTTTAAGGTGTGAAAGATCAGATACTTTTCATTCCTGCTTTTTCTTGTCACCTCATTGAAACTCATTTTTCATATTTTTTCCAATCCAACTGATTCTATTTTTATAGAGTTGTAGACAAGAATAAATTATCTGTTCATATCTCCAATGCATCTCTTGGGAATTCTTCCTTAACTTTGCCCAGCTTATAAATATTGAGGATATTATTGCAGCTTGTTTTGGAGATCCAGATGGTTCAAGTGTTTGGCTCATCATGATAAAAAGTCTTTTGGAAAATTTAAGTATGGTTTCAATTTATATAATAATAATGTTTGTAATAGTTAAGTGATTATGTATTCAATGTGTTATGTCTTTTGTTTATTATTAAATATACAACAGAAAAATAGCCACTGCATATTTTGCTATTATCTCTAACTTTATTAATAGCATTTTGGTTTGCTTAAAATGAAGGATTTGCATTGCTTGTGACAGTCTTGGGGAAGCTCTAATCCCTAGGTGTAATTTCCAACATTCCTCTAGAGCCATCACAAATAAATGTACAATCTAAGTAAAATAGTGTGCTTGCCAAACAAATCTAGTTTCGAATTAAATTCATACCCATCCCAGATTGCATCCCCTTTGTCTCTCCTATATGGAAATTCTGACATTCAGTGAGCATGACTCACTGTTGTTGTAGATGTTGATTGCTAGTACCTGAAAACTAAAAGAATTATAATAGAGCAAAACATTAATATAAGTTTGAATTAATTTTTAAAAAATTATCTCATATTACAAGTCTTTGCTGGTTATAGGCTAAGGGCTAGATATTTTCCTCCCAGAAATGCTGTTTAAGTCTCTATGGTTTTTTTTTTTCTTTAAAATGTGCAGATTGAAGTTACATGTTTTTTTGTTTGTTTGTTTGTTTGTTTGTTTTTTATTTTAAAGATGGAGTCTCACTCTGTCGCCCAGGCTGGAGTGCAGTGGCGTGATCTTGGCTCACTGCAACCTCTGCCTCCTGGGTTCAAGCGATTCTCCTGCCTCATTCTCCAGAATAGCTGGGATTACAGGTGCACGCCACCATGCGCGGCTAATTTTTGTATTTTTAGTAGAGATGGGGTTTTGCCATGTCAGCCAGGCTGGTCTCTAACTCCACCGCGCCCAGCTTGAAGTTAACACATTTTTTATTTGGTTAGGATATAAATTGAGTAGTACCAGTGATACTTTCATTTTGTCCATTTTGAGAGTGATTAACTGTCATTAGTAGAAACTTGACGATGTCATTTACACTTATTAGGTTAAATAAATAGAGAATTAGTTTTAGTGTGTTGAATGTATTTAGAGATTTCCAACAAGCCATTCTGGGTCCTGAAAAAGCAAATCCATTTGAACCAAAGCATCCATTTAGTTCATTTTGTAGTGATAAATCTGTTATATAGTAACAGCTTATTGGGTGAAAATAATTCAGGCAGTTTACAGAGTGTTTATGCCAGGTACTTTGCTTTGAAATTGTCAGTATGGTGATAAACCACATACAGTGTAATCAGTATAATCCTTGGTTTCATAAAGAACATAATCTATCAAGAAGGACTTATATTAAAGTAGGCACCCATAAAATTAGGCTGTAGGCCGGGCGCGGTGGCTCACGCTTGTAATCCCAGCACATTGGGAGGCCGAGGCGGGCGGATCACGAGGTCAGGAGATCGAGACCATCCTGGCTAACACGGTGAAACCCCGTCTCTACTAAAAATACAAAAAAATTAGCCGGGCCTGGTGGCGGGCGCCTGTAGTCCCAGCTACTCGGGAGGCTGAGGCAGGAGAATGGCGTGAACCTGGGAGGCAGAGCTTGCAGTGAGCCGAGATTGCGCCACTGCACTCCCACCTGGGCCACAGAGCGAGACTCCGTCTCAAAAAAAAAAAAAAAAAAAAAAGAAATTAGGCTGTAGAGAGAAGGAAGTTGTGCATACAGTGGAAGCATTCGGATCTAACTCTCCTTCCGGGATCAAGACTAAGGAGGACCTGAACGAGGAGCAGGAAGACTTGAGGTAGGCCAGGATATGAGAGTTGTGAATAGGAAACTGTCTACACCAGAAATGAAATCTTTGTTGCGGAGTTACCAAGCAAAATGAAGACTGAAAATATGTATCTATTGGATTTATAGCAACAAAGAAGTCATAGTTGACCTTTTGGGGACAGATTTGGTGGGAGTTGGTTGAACTATCAAGTGTAAGGTGAGGAAATTTTGTGATGAGGACAGATGCAGAATTAAGAAGAGGAAACCTCAATATTGGAAAATTGGTAGGAGAGAGTGAGAAGCTGAAAATAAAATAGCATAATAATATACTAAGGCTTTGCAGGGATTATAGCAGAGATTGACTTTGAAAAGGTCACTGTCTGTTATAATAGGAAAGAATGAGCGTGGAATTTGGTGGCAGGAAATTGAGGGAGCAGGTGATGTGTTGAAACTTTTATATAATTAAAAATCTATTTTAGCTATGCTAAAGTAAATGTCTTACATGATGAGTGTTAACTGTAAAAAATGTCTTTGAAAGAAATTCTTATTTGGGCTTTTAAAAATTGATATCAAGTGGCTTCTCAGCACTTTTTAAATTAATGGATATACTGATATGTGGAGGAGGTGTGGCTACAGTTATCGAATGAGGTTAAAAGGTTGAAATGGAAAAGATTTAAATTAATAGTTATTTTAGGTAATACAGTGTATAAGAAGCATGCTATGTTTAGATATGTGAGTCATGCATGTGATAATAAGAAGAATTGGTCTTATTCTCTGCAAATAGGTAAAAGTACATCACACATACATTCAGATATCCCAAGAAATTCTTTGTAATGGGGTTTTACTTTAGGTATCTTAGGAAAACTTAGATAAAGTTGTGTTTTTAACTTGGTGATTTAGTGACAGTGTCAGGGTGACTCAGAGAGCAGGGCTATCAGTTGGAGCTGTCTGGTGGTGATGATAGCCCCTCCGCTAGCATTTCTTCTCCACCCCATACCAGCACAGTATCCTTTGCCAGCCACCATTCACCTGCCTAACACCATTCCCTCTTTCACTTCACCTGTTGTTTCACTCTTTTGTTTATATGGGAGAACATAATAAGTTTGTTCACTTCTTTTGTAGATGATATAATGTGGGATATAAGGATAGAGTTAGTTGACATGTGGGTCACGTTGAGTCCACAAAGATAAAAGACATTGTTATTCTAACATTCTTTTATTTTTGTCTTTATAAATTAGATACACCTCTTTTTTTTTGTTTTTTTTTCTGTGCGTTTTTCTTTCTTTTGCTCTGTTTCCTCTGGTCTTCCCAGTACAGTGTTGCACCTGTTCTTGAGCTCTCTAGTTGGGCCTACTCATACAGGATTCATCCACACTTTTAAAATGTATTTAATTGACTTGGGCTTGTGGAACTTAGCCGAAGGCAAGATTTAATCTTTGCTTGGACATGAGTGAATTAGAGTGAATAAGCATTTTACATTCTAGTAATCTTAGGAGCAGTAATTAACTTCCAACTGAATTTATATATTCTCAATTTTAAAAACATTTATATCTATTCTAATTCTTGTTGATAACTAGAGAATCATAAATGTTTTCCTTTTAGAAATGATTTTTGAGAGAATCACCCCATGATATAGAATATTTCTGAATTCTGATGTGATTTTTAAAAAATATTTTAAGCAAGTTTATATGCACAGTATACCTACTTGTCTACTTGTTAATTTTTTCTTGGCAGATTATGTGTTCCTCTTTTCTTTCCTAGTCACATCACTCCTTTATTGGAAATAAGGTTTTTGTTTTTGGTAGAGTGCAAACTCTCTAAGGAGAGTTACTTGGAATAGCTGAGATGGAAAAACTTAGGACTGACTCTTATGATTCTGAAAATAGGAAAAACAATTTACATATTTGCTTCTGCATAAAGAAATACTGACTCTATATCTTGTAAGTCTCAGATTATATGACTAGGTAGTTTAATACATGAAATGCCAAGTATAATCGGCTCTCTGTATCCATGTGTTCTGTGTCTCTGGATTCAACCAGCTGAAAATGGAAAATATTTGGAAAGAAAAAACAGCAACAAAAATAACAATACAACACAAAAATCACAATGCAATCATAAAAATAATAAAAATAAAAAATAATACAATATAACTGTTTACATACATTTGCATTGTATTAGACATTATAAGTAATCAAGATGATTTAAAGTATAAGGAGGATGCGGATAGGTTATATGCAAGTACTGTGCCATTTTATATAAAGAACTTGAGTATCCGTGGATTTTGATGTCTATGGAGGGTCTCAGAATAATCCCCCACATAGACTGAGGAATGATTATCATATAATGATGCACCCAGTTGGTTGAAAAATGAAACAGAAGTGGCACTTCCTCTGCACCTGTCTTCCTTAAGATGTGCCATGTTTCAGCATCTTTAATAAAAGATACAGTAATCCCAGTTTTGTTCACTTTTATAACTGAGAGAACATTTTTACATTGTTTGATATTTCCTGAGTTGATTGACAGAGAGTCATATAGTTGGGATTTATTGAGAATAAGAATCAGAATGTGTTTATGCTAAAGTGCATCTATGAATGAAGTACTTAATTTCTTTTTCACTTGAAATTTGTCTCAATTTGTTTCAAGGAAAGTTAATTTTAAAAGTCAAAACTGCTTTATTATTGTATTTCATTTGAAAGAAACTACTTGAGGGAGCCTGATAGCTTTTGTATTATGCACTGTAAGGTTTGCATACTGCTGAACTAGTTTCTTGAGTACTGTACTTTAACATAAACAGATGCATTAAATGTCTCATAATCTTTCAAGAATTCCTTCATTTTTTCTCAGAATATGATCTTGGTAGTTTAGTGAAAATTGTAGGTTGTAGAATGTCTTTACGTCATATGGCAAATGAACACAGCTGACAAATATAGCAATACTGGGAACTTTTCTTCCCCTATTGCATTAATTTCTTTATAGCAAGGTGTGCCTGCTTTCTTCCTCTAAGGTCAGGGACATAAGGAGCCCTGCCTTGAGTAATGTTTGAACATTGATTGTTTCTGCTAGGTTGCCAGGCCTTCTAGCTTGATCCATTGTCTAGATCCTGAGTGCTTGTTGGTTGGTCAGCTTGGACCAAGTTTTGATAACACCTGCACTCCTCATCTTCTATTTTAACTTGTTTTTCTCTGCCTCCCTCTGCCATGCTGTGCTGTTTTAAATAATGTAAAATAATAGTTTCACATGACAAAAATCCTAATAAACAAGAGGGTTTTAAATAAAAAGCAAACAGTTTTCTTTCTGCCCCATTCACCCGTCACTTTCCTAATCCCTGGAGTAAACCACTTTTACAGCTTACTAATTTTTTAAAAATAATTAAAAAATATATACATAATATATATATACAGACACATATACACACATATATCTCTTTCCTGTTTTAACTTTTATCAGTTCACCAACTAAAAGTTCTGCTGAACTCTAGCATGGGCTTGGCAAACTGTCTTTAAAAGGCCCGATAGTAAATATTTTAGGTTTTACATGCCATACGTCTCTGTTGCAACTATTCAACTCTGCCTTTGTAGTCTGAAAGTAGCTGTAGACAAAAAGTAAACAAACGGTTGTGGCTATGTTCTACTAAAACTTTATTTAGAAACACAGACTGCCAGCTGGATTTGGCCTGTGGGTTCCGATCTGTGATCTAGAATTACAGTTAATAAAGTTGGAGATGTTTTGAACATATTATTATTGGACTCTGAGCTTTGTGGTGATAGATTAGGTCAGGGATTTCTTTCTTTCTTTTTTTGGAGACAGAGTCTCACTGTGTCACCCAGGCTGGAGTGCAGTGGTACAATCTCGGTTCACTGCAACCTCTGCCTCCCTGATTCAAGTGATTCTCCTGCCTCAGCCTCCTGAGTAGCTGGGACTACAGGCACACGCCACTACACCCGGCTATTTTTTAAATATTTTTAGTAGAGATGGGGTTTCATCATGTTAGCCAGGCTGGTCTCAAACTCCTGACCTCAGATGATCCACCTGCCTCAGCCTCCCAAAGTGCTGGGATTACAAGCGTGAGCCACTGCGCCTGGGCAAGGTCAGGGATTTATTAACAGAGTTAAGTGAAGTTAAGTGAAGACAGACATCTAGTTAGATCCAAAGTGATCTTAGGAATTCTGTTATAGCCTGGTTATATATGGTTTGAAGGATCACATAGACACTTCATGGTACTTAAGAGTTGTTGGTTTAACTTTAGAATGTTGAAAAATCAGTTTCTCTGAGGTCTGCTGATAAATTCTCTGCTTCCTGTAAGTAGATTGAAAACCACTGGAATAGGCTCTGATTTAAACAGACTGGAACGTCAGTGTCTTAGGGCCATGGAGATACAGTATAAACTTGGAAGTACATTTACTTAAGCTCATTCTAAAAGTTTTATAACTTTACTGAACCATGTACAAATTGGGCAATTGAGTAACTCGTCTTCAGCATATAATAGAATCATGAAACATTAGAGCTGGAAGCAACCCTTTCTATCTGGCCCACCTTTATGTAGGAAACTGATGCCCAGAGATATTAAAGGACTTGACTTAAATCATATGGTTCATTAATAACAGACCAGGGAAAGATCATTAAGATATTATCGCTGTGCCATCTTGTCTTTTTGTATAGTCAGATTTGTTCAAAATCTTTATTTCTATGCAACCTTTCTAGGACTCATTCTTGTGAGTGTATGTGTGTCCTAGATTAGTTGTTTAAAGAACACTATTAATTGGTTCTTTATGGATAATTTATTCCTAATATTTCCTGTAGTGATGGTAAAAACCCTTTGCAGAATTGTTTGATTCGTTCCATTCAGCTTGCAGACCGCTTTTAAAGGCTTTTAGCCTTCCATCTTAGAACTGGTAATTTCTTGACCATAATGTTGCATTTATTTATCAAAGTGTTTATGAATAGATCCTTTTAACATACTTTAATTAATTGATCAAAATGGATTGAATTCATGTTTCTAAATGATGGCTAAGAGCTTCTTTAAAAGCTGTACAGTTAATGTCCACTATTTAATCACATAACTTTTATATATGTATTTTTAATTAGTAGTAAATTGTTGTCAAATTGCAGTTGTACATTTTGAAAGCATTTTTAATGAAAGCCAATTTTTGATTTATAGATTTTTATGTTTGTAGTCTTCCATATGCTGTTTACCTTACCACATTTGCATTAAATCTTAATAAATGGGATATAGAATTACTTACCTTTAATAACAGCCATAAAAACATCTAGGTTTATTATAATTTCATAAACCAACACTAAAGCCCATTTGTTTTGATAGAGAAGCTGAAGAAATCGTTGCTTTCACTTGTGAATGAATTCAGATATATTTCTTTTTCCTCCAGACTCAAAATATTCCCTAAAGGAAAATGTTTATCAGTTCTGAATTACTCATTATTCCACTTGTCCTTGCCTCTCTGCTTCTGTTACTCTAGGATCAGCCTTGGGTGAAATTTTGAACTCCATATGATAGAGGAACTGTCTTTAACTCTTACTCATCTCTCTTTTCTTGCTAAGGCTCCTGCAGACCAGAGTTCAGTGTGGTTCTTCTAAAACATTCTCTTCCCTTTCCTGCTGTCTCTGTAGTTTTATTTATTGAGGTAGAGAATAGGGGCTAATGGAATGATGGCAAAATTTTACCATTTTTCTTTCAATTACAAATTTGACTTAGAATATTTATTACCTGCTCTGAGTTAGGTAGTAAATTTAGTTCTGGGGAGTCACTGGTGAGTAAGCCACAGTGCCTTAAACACTTGTGCCTTGGAGACACAGCCACAGGTATTCCTTACTGTAGTACAGGAATTCGTAAACAGAGTATTATGAAGGTTGTGGGGGTAGTTACTTAGCAGGGAAGGACTTCCCAGAGAATATGGTATTCGAATTAAGCCTGGAAAGATAGATGGATGTTTGTGAGTGAGAAAGGAAGAAAGGATATTCAAGTTATTGTGAGCACTATGTACAAGAACTGAGGGTGTGAAAGTCTGGAGTTTGGTTCAGGTGCTGTGCACAGTACGTATGTCTAAAATATAGGCATTAAGAAGTCTATGTGAAGTTATTTTTTTCATGTCAGATTGTTAAAGGTCTTACATGCCATACTAATTTGGGGCTTTTCTCGTTAGTTTAATAGGGAGCCACCAAAAGATTTAAAGCAGGAGATTAATGTGGTTTTATTTTTGCTTTACTTAAGAGCTGCGCTCAGATGTCTTTAGGGACCAGGCAGGTCATATAAATGTGAGGCTGCCAGATGTAAGACCATAGGAAATGGTAGAGCCCACAGGACTAGATAGCACTTGCCTTGCATAAAGCCTTTTGACAACACTGTGTCTGCCAAATCATATAGAATATTGACCAAATCCAATGTGAAGTTAGACCCCTGCTCAGAGCTGTTTCTGACAGCTTTTTGAAGGATGTTGTACAATGTTTGGTTGATGGTGTTTGTCAAATAAATGGATAGATTGATTAAAATAGGTGTGTTACATATGCAGATTCATTAGGAAGCTATTTTTTTTTTCATTATTTTAAGTTCCGGGTACATGTGCAGGATGTGCATGTCTGTTACATAGGTAAATGTGTGCCATGGTGGTTTGCTGCACCTATCAACCTATCACCTAGGTATTAAATCTGGCATGCATTAGCTATTTTTCCTGATGCTCTTCTTCCCACCCATCCCCTGATAGGCCCCACTGTGTTGTTCCCCTCCCTGTGTCCATGTGTTCTCATTGTTCATCTCCCACTTATAAGTTAGAACATGTGGTGTTTGGTTTTCTATTCCTGTATTAGTTTGCTGGAGATAATGGCTTCCAGCTTCATCCATGTCCCTGCAAAGGACATGATCTCATTCCTTTTTATGACTGCATAGTATCCAATGGTGTATATGTACCACATTTTATTTATCCAGTCTGTCATTGATGGGCATTTGGGTTGACTCCATTTCTTTGCTATTCACATGTCTTTGCTATTCACATGTCTTTGTTATCGTGAATAGTGCTGCAGTGAGCATACACGTGCATGTATCTTTATAACAGAATGATTTATATTCCCTAAGCAAAAGGTGATAATGCTTGAATTAGGACATAGAATTGAGAAAAGATAATCACAGGTGGATATGGGAAATACTGAAATGAAATGGTAGAATCATCAGGATTTGATTACTAATTACATATAGAGAGGGAAGAATGCAAGATGACGCTGAGATTTTCAGCTTTATTTGAGTAGGTGGTGATGCTGTGAATTGAGACAGAGAACATGGGAGAAGGAACAGCTCTGAGGGAGAGAAGATACTGATTTGTTTTGTTTTGCTTTTCTTGTGGTTGGGTGAGGATTTATTTAATTATTTGAAAGTGTTAAGATACTGCCATAGCTATCCTTTTGGGGGAATTATTTTGGGGACAATAGTTTTCATTCTTCATTCACTTATTTATCCATTCATTATTTTTTTGGCAGGAGTTGTCCTAGAATTATTTTTTTAAGGAAATTTCAGTCCTACCTGCAAGTATTCCCTTAATCTATGTCTGATATTTCAGGCACAAATCCTGGTTAGAGATCTTAATTTTTCTAATAAGGTATCAGTCCTACACTGTTAATTGTCAAAGGATATAGTTTTGCTCACTTCCAGTTTTTACTAGAGAATATACTCTCCAGTCCTCAACTTCAGTTCAAAGTATGCTTATGATAAATACTATTTGCAGAAAATGATCTAATTCCTCTAGATGTTTGGACATTTATCATTGAGAGCATCAAAAACTGTGTGCTTGTATTACATTGGTTTTACTTTTCTGACAGATTGCTATCTATGTCTATCTATATCTCACTCTGGTATTATCTCTGTAGCTTGCCTTGAAAGGCTCTATAAGAAGCAAATGCAAGGAACCCATTATTGTATGTATTGTAAGGATATTGTCAGGGGGTTGTGCCTTTGGAGATCAAGACACTGGCAAAATTTTCTCTCAGAACTTAATGCAAACAAAAGTGATTTTTTATATTTTTGTTTTGATTTATTTTTCCCCTTTGAGCTACTGGTATGTTCTTCTGTTATAGACACTGGATTAAGTACTATGGCCCTCCCTATTTGCTTTGGCTGCTAGGAATTTGAGAGTCAAGTTTATTATCAGTAGATAGCAATTTTAAAAACCTTTGATTTTGGTGTGCTAAACGTCTTTCACTTGTTTGTACTATTTTAAGAACAATGAGGTTTTATTCTTTCTTGTTAAAATATGTTCTCTGTGATTGCATTTATTTTGTTAGACATCACATCCTTTTTAGTAGTGAGATAAAATTCAAATAATGTTAGTTCTATTGATTTTTTTTTTTTACTGACCTCGTAAGAATTAAAGGGGGAAAAATCTAGATTCAATCACGTGTCCTAAGTGTATGAGTATAACTCAGTAAGCTTTTATAAAGTAAACATAGTTATGTAATTACCACCTAGAAGTAGAAACAGAGTATTTCTGACACCCCACAAACTTCTCGCATGTCTCATCCCAGTCATTCTTCTAAGGTAAGCGCTGTTCTGGCTTCTGTCACCAAAATTAGTTTTGCTTGTTTAGAACTTTAAATAAATGGAAGCATACAGTATATACTATTTTTTACTGACTTCTTTTGCCAAACATATTTTTGTGGTTCACATAAATTTTAATTGCTATAGGATTTTATTTTATGAATGTATCACATTTTGCTTATCTAATTATTCTAGACAATTGTGTTGCCTCAGGTTTTTGCCTATTAAAAATAATGCTGCAAGGATTCTGTGTGCTTTTCTGTTCAGTATGTATCCAGGACTAGACCTGCTGGGAGGTAGAGTGTGTGTTGTTTCAGTAGATATTAGGGTTTTCCAAGAGGTTATATCAGTTTCCCCTTCCTCTAGCATCAGATGAGTGGTTCTGTTTGCTCAACGTCCTTGCCAACATTTGGTGGTGTCATTTTTAATTTTTTAAAAATATTTTTAGCCATTTTTTTCATTCGTTACAGTGTTTTTATAGTATTAATTTGCATTTCCTGAATGACCAATACACTTGGGACAGATAGAATAAAAATAAAGGGCAAAAGTCTTCAGATCACTGAGAAAGAGGATATTCAATTGGCTGTTAAACACACAAACATTGTTTATATAGACACACTGTTTATGTAAAAGTTACCAATTTTAATTCTTCAGTTTTTTTATTTTTATCTGTAGATTCTTTCTTTCTACTCACGCAATCCTGTTGCTGCTGCTAATGACTCTTATTCCCTTCTAATACTTTTTCTTATTGCATTGTCTATATGTAGAATTCAGCAGCATGTCTTACGATCTATACTCTTAATCTTTGAATTTATGGATTAATTATTCAGTTAGTATGTATTTATTTAGCACTTAGTTTGTCTCAGAAATAGAAAAAAACTGTTTTTTTTTTTTTTAATAGTGAACTGAATTCAAAGCTGCAAGATACTTTGGAACAGATTGAGGTAAGAAGTATTATATCCTAACCTTAATGAGTTTTTCTTTTCAGAAGTTTTTGAATAGCCTAGGTGCAACATTGTGTTTTGGCTTTTATGTTATTACCAATGTCTCTAGATCACTGTATTTCTTGATTTTCATTTGGAATATCTATTTATGGTCAAGTTAGTGTAAAAATTTACTTGTAAATTATGGGATCTCAAAACAGCATTTGAAAATATTGCCATTTCCAAGAAAAATTTCCAAACTATTAGTCATAGGTGTGTTCTCATATAAATTATATAATAGCCAAAATACTTTCTATGTATTAATTATATTTTAATTATCAGTTACTTTATTGTTTAGTATAGTGAGTTAATTTACCTGTAAGTAATTATTGGCTGATGAAAACCCTCCAAAATTCCTAAACCTCATAATGATACTCACATAGTTCATCAAAAACGTAGAAACTAAAAAGGAAGAGATATGTAATTATGAGCATGAAGCATGTTTTGCCTGTTACATATATTCAAAATTCATCTCTTTCCTTGACAATCTTTGCAAAGGAGGGTATTCATTTTAATAAATAAGAATTATTTGTATTTGGTTTCTTCTAGTCTTTTATTGTTTTCCTGATAAGAGTATTTATAAAAGTTGAGATTGGACTTTCAAATTACCTTTTGAGAAAGTAATTTTTGACCACAAATGCAATTATTTGCTATTAAATAATTGTGAGAATGACAGTTTATTTGATAGTCACAGAAACAACTGCTTTGAGTGGCTTAAGTTAACAATTCCCTGAATATTTTAATGAAGGCTTTCTTTTGAGAGCCCAGGATTTCTTCACTTTTAATAGATATTATTCTGTATTTATATTAAAAACTCTTATTTCAAAGTAAAATCATTGAAAAAGAAATCCATAAAGCATGGTAATTTAGATAAAAGAGCTTAAACCTTGAGGAATATACTTTTAAATTCAATGTAGTTTTGTTGAGAATTCCTTTTCGTTGATTAGAGAAAGATTGTTTTATTGTTCTCCAGTAGTCCCACAAATTCAGTTTATATAAGATTTTAGCAGATGCTTGAGGAAACATTAAGTAGTAGTAAGAGTAAGATTCATTACAAAACTATTATTTTGTTTCCTGTAAAACACTAGGCATGGGTTTTAAGGCATAGAAATTCACATGTTAATATCTTGGTAAACTTGATTATAGTTGCTAATAAATTTACAATTGCAATTTATAACTTTATTTAAATTTGTTTTTGACTTCTAAATCTGGTATGATAGTAAATGTATTTAAATGTTAACTAAAAGTGAGAAATTAGTCTTAATGTTTTCTTCTCATTGCCTTGAAAACATAATTCCTTAACCATGTCTTGCTTCTTCTTTTAATTATATAGGAACAGCTGGACGTAGCTCTTTCCAAAATCTGCAAGAATTTTGACATTAACCATTATACCAAGGTTCAACAAGCTTATCGACTTCTTGGAAAAACACAGGTTTGTTACAAAAGGATGTTTGGATTTTTCCTTAATCAGGAATTTGTTGTCCTTCATGATTAAGTCTGAATATTATTAATCTCATGTCCTTAAAAAGTTTTATTTAACGAAGTACATTTTTATTCTGAATTAACAGTGATAAAATGGTTGTTCTTGTAGACTCAGAGGGTATATAATGTGGTTAAAACATTACAGTAGTTTGTTTTGAACTATGAAGTACTTGTCAGGTTTAATATTTTCACAATTTTATGTAGATTTTCCAATAAGTATATTATAAGATAATTCAGTGGGAGACAACATGTAGTCTCTTTTAACTCAGCTCTTGGTTCTGAAACAGGACTTCCTAATTTGCAGCTTCACGTGTTGTTAGATAGCCAGCATGACTCCCTCAAAATGATATGTCAGCATTGTACATTTTGTACCTTTATCTGTAAAACAAGTCCATTTTATTTATCACATATTTCAGAGGGTCCTTTTATCCCCAAAATGTCATAACTTCTCTCATAATATATGGCTTTTCATACTCTTACTGTTCAAGGGCTTCCTTGAAAAGCTTGAAACAGGTGCCATGGTTTTGAAAGTTAATTGTATCTTTTGTTTGTATAGGATTATATGTTTACCTATACAACATTTAATGTGATAGATGTAAATGTTTTCTTCCCTTAAACGGTCCCCTCTTTTAGAAGGAAGTTTAAGATTTTGCTAAACAATTTAAACTCTACATTTTGAAATCTGAATAAAGAAATTTTACTGTTTATTGTAATTTAATTTTCATGTCTTAAGCTATACCCAAGAAAAAAATCTAAGAAGAAAGAACTTAGCAATTTTGAGGGATATGTTTAAACACCTTTGAAAATAGGATTATAACTTCTAATTTCCCTCATAAGATTAAGTCTTAAATTCCATAAATATTTTTGGTACCTCCTACGCACATTGCTTCAGGTGTCTGGATATAGGCTTTTATGTATCTTACCTTTTAGTGAGGGATACTGGCATACATCTTTTTATTACACTTCACTTTATTGTGCTTTTCAGATACTGTGTTATTTACAAATTAAAGGTTTATGACAAACCTGCATCAAGCAAGTCTGTCAGTGCCGTTTTTCCAACAGTATGCATGCATGTACTTCATGTCTGTGTGTCAGATTTTCATGATTCTTGCAGTATTTCCAACTTTTTCATCATTATTATATCTGGGATGGTGATCTGTGTTTAGTGAGCTTCATGTTAGTATTGTAATTGTTTTGTGGTCCATGGGACTGTGCCCATATAAAATGGTGAACTTAATTCACAAATGTGTGTGTTCTGACCGCTGTACCAACTGGCCATTCCCCCTTCTCTCCCTCTTTTTGGACCTTTCTATTCTCTGAGGTACAGCAGTATTGAAAATAGGCCAATTAATAAACCTACAGTGGCTTTATGTCTCTCACTTTAAATCAAAAGCTAGAAATGATTAAGCTTAGTGAAGATGGCTATGCTAAAGACAGATTTTCAGTGTACACGGAACAGCCTTCTATTGGAAGAAGATGCCACCTAGGATTTTCAGAGGTACAGAGAATAAGTCAATGCCTGGCTTCAAAGCATCAAAAGACAGGTTGACTCTCTTATTAGGGGCTAAGGCATGTGAAGACTTTAAGTTGAAGCCAGTGCTCATTTATGATTCTGAAAATCCTAGGACACTTAAGAATTATGCTAAATCTACTCTGCCTGTGCTCTGTAAGTGGAGTAACAAAGCCTGGATGATAGCACATCGATTACAACATGGCCTACTGAATGTGTTAAGCCCACTGTTGAGACCACCTGCTCAGAAAAAAAAATGTCCCTTTCAAAATATTTCTGTCTATTGACAATGTACCTAGTCCCCCATGACTTTGATGGAGATATACAAGAAGATGAATGTTGTTTTCATGCCTGATAACAGTCATTCTGCATCACATGGATCAAGGAGTAATTTTGGCTTTCAAGTCATACTACTTAAGAAATACATTTTATAAGGCTATAGGTACCATAGATAGTGATTATTCTGATGGATCTGGGGAGAGTAAATTGAAAAGCGTCTGGATTTACCATATGCCATTAAGAACATTTGTGATTCCTCTGCTGGATCTCAGGAAAGTCAATTGAAAACCTCCCATAAAGGATTCACCATTCTAGGTGCCATTAAGAACATTTGTGATTCATGAGAGGAGGTCAAAATAGCAACATTAGCAGGAGTTTGGAAGAAGTTGATTCCAACCTTCATGATGACTTTGAGGGGTTCAAAACTTCAGTGGAAGAAATCACTGCAGATGTGGTAGAAACAGCAACAGAAGTAGAATTAGAAGTGGAGCCTGAAGATGTGACTGAATTGCTACAATCTTATGATAAAACTTGAATGGATGTAAGAATTGCTTCTTATGGATGAGCAAAGACAGTGGTTTCTTGAGATGGAATCTACTAGTGAACATGCCATGAACATTGTTGAAATAACAAGAAATAATTTGGGATATTACATAAACTTAGTTGATAAAGCAGCAGCAGGGTCTGAGAGGATTGACTGTAGTTTTGAAAGAAGTTCTACTGTGGATAAAATGCTATCAAACAGCATCGCATGCTACAGAGAAATATTTTGTGAAAAGAAGAGTCAACTAATGCAGGAAACTTCACTGTTGTCTTTTCAGAAATTGCCATAGCCACTTCGGCCTTTAGCAACCAGCACCCTGATCAGTCAGCAGCCATCAACATTGAGACAAGACCCTCGACCAGAAAAAAGATCGACTCACTGAAGGCCCAGATGATTATTAGCATTTTTTTAAATTTTAGCAATTTTTTAAAATTAAGGTTTATATGTTGTTTTTTAAAGACATAATGCTATTACACACTTTAGACTATAGAACAGTGTAAATGTAACTTTTATATACACTGGGAAATAAAAAAATTTGCTTTGTGAGGTATGCCTGTAAATGAATATGATGTCAGGTAGTAACAAATGTTACAAAGAAATATAAATCAGAGTATGTGGATGCAGAGATAGAAAGTACTGATTCATATAGGCTAGTCATGGAAGGTTCCCTGAGAAGATTACCATTGAGAAGTGCACTGAATGATATAAAAGAAGGAATACATGCAGAATGATGCAGAGGGTAATTAGAGATATGGTTGTGTACAACATATTTAAGAAAGAGCAAGATGAATACCAGTTATAAATAAAGAACAACAGAGCAGTGTTCACGAGTCACATTTATTTTGAGTGCTCTGATAATCTGGTTATGTGAAGGATTATTTGCAAATAATATACCCAGTATAATTTTCCCAGTATAATTCTGGGAAAACTATTATCTTTGTGTTGTAACTATTATTTGAAAAGATGTTTCCCTGGGTTTTTTCAATTTGTTGAAATTTATTTATTTTAATAATGTGAAATTATGTTGTGCGTTTTTTTCTTTCCACAGACAGCAATGGATCAACTTCATATGCACTTCACCCAAGCCATTCACAACACCGTGTTTCAAGTTGTTCTTGGTTATGTGGAACTATGTGCAGGAAACACAGACACAAAATTCCAAAAGCTGCAATATAAGGATCTCTGTACAGTATGTAGTGACTTAATTACTATTCATATATCTCTCCTTTAGATTTTAAATTTATATTTCCTTTATCTTGGTACATACCTATTTGAAAATGCTACTAAAATAAAAATAAATCTTTGCCAAAAATTTTTTTTCTCCCAAGTTGTTCTTTTCCTTATAGAGAAGTTGGAGGACTCAGTCACACAAATGGTAAAGGTTACTGAGATTGGAGCATGATTGCTTCTCAATCGACTCTTTACCATTTCATAGCTTCTTTTACCCATCTCTCTCAGGCTCCAAATTATCTCTTATGAATGCATCCAGTAGGCTTCTAAGCAACCATCATTGCTGGTTTTCTGTACAGATTTTCAACCAGTTTTTTCATGTGTATGAATGCTGCCTTTGTCAGCATCTGTAACTGGTTTTTTCTTTTTCTTTTTAAAGAAACATAGGTCTTTAGGTAATATAACCCAGCAGGTGAGAAGTGGACTGACTTGGGTTCTGTTTTAGAAGTAGGTCCTGCTGAGGAGTTGATGTAGACTGTGAGGAAAAGAGAATGATGAATAATTGGGAGAATGGTAGTGCCATTTGCTTTTATAGGGAAGACTGGGAAGGAACAGGACTTTGGTGAAAAATCATGAGCTCTGTTTGGTATCTATTAAACATTCAAGTGGACTTGCTGAGGACGCAGTTGCATAGAAGAACCTAGAGTGATCAGGGCTGAGTTTGTAAATTTAGGAGTCATCAGCATCTACTTGTATTTAAAGCCCTGATACCAGGTAAGAAGATTGAGGTGAAAGGGTATAAATAAAGAAGACATGAGGGCCCTGGGTCTTGTGACATTCAGGGGTTAGATAGAGGAATGAGACTAGTAGAGTCTTAGAGCAACTAGCTGGGTAGGAGGAAAACTAGGAGATGGTGGTGTCACAACAGCATGAAGAAGGAAGCATTTCAAGAAGAATGGAACCTATGTCAGATGCTGCTGAGAGTCTGAATATGGTAATATTAAAGGATTGACCACTTGATTTAACCATGTGGAGGTACTGTTTACCATGATTTCTTCCTTTAGCCTAAGAATGCGCTATGTCTCTCACTGGAGACATCCTTGAGTTTTCTCTAATGTCAAGTCAGGAAATTATAACACTTCTAGTAAGTAGATATCTATTCTGCTTTGTAATTGTGTCCAGGAATTAGTGTAAAAATAAGTAATCTTCATCCTTCAATGAATTTCTTTGTCAAACCTGCTGGTTATATGTCTGTTGGGTACTACAGAAATTTTCTTACCTGAGCTACAATAAGTATCCTGGAAGGGTGTGATTATATATGATGTATTAAAGATTAAGTTAATAACGACAGTGGATGTATGTTAATACGGCTAAAAATATCTTTTTAAACTAATTGTAGAAACCATGAGGACTGTTTTACAGATTTTATGATTACTAACTTTAAGTGTGATGTAGTTGCATAATTTTGTCTTTAAATGTTCAGTTTTAGGTATAGCTATCATTTGGTAAATATTAATAATTTTGAAATGTTTTGTTTATTGTTATTTTTCTTATTCATATATGTTCTTACTTTGATAGTATATATTATAAAATTACCCAATCACCTTTTTTATTCTAATAAGTTTTATTAATTTTTTTATTGTAATGTTGCTATCACTAATAGATGGTAAAGCAATTTATTATGTTAGCAATTTTTTTCTATTAAAGCAGAAAAGAACTCTTAAAAATTAAACCAAACATTTTAAACAAATTAGAGTTTTGTCTTTTCATCTTTTTAAATTTGGTTAAATCTGTTGTGTGTGTTTGTGTATGTATATTTTGCTTTCTTTTATTGACCATTTTTATATGCTTTTAAAAAAGTCAAAGACATAAATTGTGCTCATGCTTCATGAGAAAGCCCCTCTGTGCATTTATATAACAAAAAGCTGAAAGATATACTTGGCTTACAAATTTTTATGAACAAAAATTTGTGCTCAAGGTGTTTACCATTATGTTTCTTCTGAGTTTCTTTCACTTTTTAAAGAAGCTGACTGTAGGCTGGGCATGGTGGCTTATGCCTGTAATCCCAGCACTTTGGGAGGCCAAGGAGGCCAGGGGTTCAAGACCAGCCTGGACAACATGCAAAACCCTGCCTCTACTAAAAATACAAAAAAAAAAAATATTAGCTGGGTGTAGTGGCGCATGCCTGTAATCCCTGCTACTGGGAAGGCTGAAGCAGGAGAATTGCTTGAACCAGGGAGGTGGAGGTTGCAGTGAGCTGAGATCACACCACTGCACTCCAGCCTGGGCGACAGACTCTGTCTCAAAAAAAAAAAAAAAAAAAAGCTGAGTGTAAAATAATCTTTTGAAGTAGTTGTGTATATATTTAAATTATAAGATAATAAATAGCTTATCCTTATCCTTAGTTTCATCTTTAGTAAATACTTGTTAAAATTATCCCCAAGAAACTTCTGGTACTTTATTATAAAATTATCCATATACGTGTGATAGTAGGTGATATATATATATATATGTACATATATATACACACACACGTATATGTATATCTATAAGGAAACCAATGATTTATTAATATTTTGAAGTGTAGTCATAGAAAACATAATAGCAGGCTCATATATTATTATTTGTCTAACACAGTTGTACTTTTTTGGTATTTATTCAAGCTGTGCTAAAACATTAGTTGAAGTAGCTTTGGTTCGAATTGGTGAGAATAATAGCAAATATTGGCGATGGCTTAATGGAGGAATTTCTTTTTAAGAAAGGAGTTAACATAATAAGGTGAAGATTGTGATGCATATCAAGGTAACCCATTTTCTTTGGCTATTCTCAATAAAAAAATTAAAGAAGTTTAGAAATCATCCCAGGCCTTCTAGAAATTACCCCCAAGGCTCCTGGTCAGTGCTGCTACAGGCAGATATGAGTGCAGAAACCTTTTTGTAACCTGTTAATTTATTTTATAATATTGAGTCATATTTGATGGTTAAATCAGGTAAGATTTGGAAGAAATTCTTTCTTTCTAGTTCTGCTTATTTATTACCTAGTTTGATGAAAAGTTGTTAACTTTTAGTAACTGAGTTCTATAAAATATAGTGGTTAGCTGAGGAGAGGAAAGATAGAGGAGCTGAATAAAGAAGGTGATGAAATCTAAGTACATTTTCCTGGTGAGAAAAAATATCAAGGCATAACTCAGGCAAGAGAGATAATTCATGAAGGAACTTTGTATTAGAATGTAAGCTGCTTATTTTTCAATATGTGGCAGTGGGGGATCATTTTAGCCTGTGATTAAAAATAACTGATAATAATTATCGAAGATATACTTGTGTGAGAGCAAATGTGGCAGTGGGGCATCAGGTGAGCAAGAAGCAGGAGAGTCCTCAAAACATGTGCAGGGTGTTGACTGACATGAAATGAGAAGAAAGAGTCTAGGCATTTTGGCAGTTTATATCCTCTGTACAGTAGCAATGTTTTGAAGGAAGTGTTTAGTCATACATAGAGCTTAAAAATAACATTGAAAATTAAGATGAATGCTACAGAGTAAGAGGCAGATTTGAGTTCCTGTGAACAGGGAATAATTGTGCTTCCTTTAAATGGAAAGAGAGTGGAAATGAAAAGAGATAATCATCTGCTTGCTTTATGCATAGTATCATTTTAAACTATTCTTAGATATCAGCCTAAATGAGCTACAGTGAAATTGAACTAATTAAAAAAAAAAGAAAAACCTCTTGGAAATCTGAGATGAAATTAGTGTTCCGTTTTTATTTACTCTGGTATACAGAACCTCAAGTTCTTAAGGCCAGCAGCATCCCTTCCCAATCAATTTTCTGCCATTTGTTTCTATTCACCATTGCTCTGAGTTTAAAAGTTTAGTTGGTTTTGAGCTTTTTGAAATCATTTTGCAGTTGAATGTACTTTTTTTTCTTTACTAAACATGTTTTTAGAGTGGTTTAATTAGATGCATAGTTTTTATTGGTTGTCTTTCAGTCTGTTTTCTCTGCTTTTCTTGAATGTATTGGTTTACTGCTTTTACACTAGCTGTTTAGGTTCTTTTTTTAAAAAAAGTAGGTACATTATTTTGAAACCCAAATAAATCGCTAAAACTTAGCAGCAAGATTTCCAAATGAAAATTCATCATACTTCATTTCTGGAAAGGGAAAATATAAAGGACTCATAGTAGTACTTTTATTTACTTAAAAAATTAGGCCTTGTTTGTGATTGCATTTACATTTTGATGTACCCTACATATTTACACCAATTTGTGGAGAGATTTATAGACAACATTTGGAAGCTTTTAATTTAACACCTTTGTAGAGAAACCCTTTGTGGTTTATTTGAAAGTTTATGAAGTATTCATAAGGATTTTTTTTTCCTTTTTAAAAATAACATTACTTTGGCAGGCTGATGGGTTTTCCTGGGGAGCTTATTTCAAGATGCTAATTAGGATGTTATTGATTAATTTTAGGACAATGGAGTTGGCTAGGCTGCCTGAAGTTTTCTCAACTATTTTTAAAATTGTTCATTTCCAAATCATCTTAATGAGCTTTGAGTTCTGTTTTTATGATGAATTTCATAATGTAGTAAAAATATATGCTATGTAAAAATATACTCTCTCTGTATATATATATATACATACATACATACACACTCATATATTATTTGGGGGAAAATAAAATGTTTCTGTTAGAAAAAACTTTTGAAATTATTTCATTATGTGTTTTCATAGTGTCTGGCACATTGGAGGTGTTTCCTTAGTAATTGGATTGCCATATTTGTCTCCAACTGGTGTGGTGTTGACACAATTAGAGTCTGTTTAGGTTAAGTGAGAGGGAAAGAAAACCAACACTGAGCACCTTCTCTGAGCCATGTACTTTTACAGGTGCTTTATATTAGTACATCATAGACAAACTATAATATTAATCTAATGTCCCATTCTTATAGGCTTTTAAAGTTTCATTCTTAAAAACAGTATTTTTTGATACTGAATTATAATCATGTCGATTTTTTGGGAGTCAACCAATATCTTTAGTAAAGTCCCTGTAGAAAATAACAGTTTATTTTGTTATTAGTATAAAACCCCAAAGACAGATTCTTCTTTTGAGTGAAAACATGTTTCTGTTCCTAAATCCTCAGGATTTTTGTTTAGAATTAATATTTTCTCTCATCAGATACTGTGAGAGTGTATTGACTCTCTTTACTATGGATAATAAGCTGCAGGAAATTAATGCTAAAGTTAATGTTCATGTTTAGTACCCATTTTGTTTTGGGTTCTCTATAGAATTAACTGCTGCCTCCTTACCCTTTTTCTGTTTTCCGACTTCTTAAACTGGTATGTTATTTATATGTCTTTATGTTACTCACAGTCTTTATAGGGCTAGACATAATATAAGTTATATAAATAGTGGCTCAAATTAAGCAATCATTAATATACATTCTCTTAAAAATATGCATATTTTAAATTATACAACTAAAACATTAATTGTAGGAAAAGACACAAGCAAAAAGAAGAAAGTAAAAATTGCATATGTCTGCATGCAAAGCTGGTTCTTTTAATGTGTATATAAGCTGATAGCTTTTAAAAGTAGCTGCACAAACTGTTTTATAACTTTTTTGCCACTTGCTACATTATAAACAATTTTTCCGGCTGGGCGCGGTGGCTCACGCCTGTAATCCCAGCACTTTGGGAGGCTGAGGCGGGTGGATCACGAGGTCAGGAGATCGAGACCATCCTGGCTAACACGGTGAAACCCTGTCTCTACTAAAAATACAAAAAATTAGCCGGGCGTGGTGGCGGGCGCTTGTAGTCCCAGCTACTCGGGAGGCTGAGGCAGGAGAATGACATGAACCCTGGAGGCGGAGCTTGCCGTGAGCTGAGATTGCGCCACTGCACTCCAGCCTGGGGGACAGAGCCAGACTCCGTCTCAAAAAAAAAAAAACAAAAAACAATTTTTCTATTTCAGTAAATATGCTACTTGCATAATTTTTAATGACCAAACGGTATTTCACTGTAAGTGATGCTGTGGATTAATTAACTGCTTTCCTGTTCTTGGATATTTATGTTATTTCCAGCTTTTGTCATTATGAACAGCACTGTAGTAAATATTCTTAAAGCTAAATCTTTGTGTACATCTTTATTTCTTTAGGATAAATCACGAGAAATGAAATTGCATTGTCTGTCAAAGCTTTACATTTTAAAGGCTTTTGGTTTGTCTTTCCTAAATTGCCCTATAAAAAATGGTATTTCAATTTACACTCCTGATCAGCAGAGTCTGCATTTATCCCTTTCCCTGAGCACATGAATGCTGATTATCTTTTATTTAATACCATAATTATCAGATGCCAGAGGTAGCATATCAAAAATAATTTGTGTTGCATATCAATCAGTCATGTTTGGGATGGTAAGGAGGTTAAACGACGTTTCATTGATTGTTGAGGTTAATTTGCTTGATGTGGTTGAATAGGTGAGTAGACCTTTCTTGCTGAATGCTACAAATTTGAATATTTGGTTGAAGAGAGAAACCTTTTCACTTCAAAGAATATTATCATTTACTTGGTTTGCTCAGGTCAGTTTCAGAATGAACTAAGAATTCAGCTGTCAGATTTATTCTTATCACATATATGGAGTGCCTAGCTAATTTTGTAGTATATAATTTTATGTAATGATTTCTAAATTAAGTAGGTTTTGATAATTTTTAAAATTAAAACTTAATGACCAAAAGGTAGGTAAGGAAAGTTTATTTGTTTCTTCCTTTTTTTTCTTGCCATTTTCTCTCTGGATCATCAAAAATTGTGAGGAGTCTGAAATTTTATTCTACTTGCAAATTAATAAGCTAGCCTGTTACTATTTCCTGGATGCTGGTAGAAGACACAGACTTCATATTCTTAGCACTATAACTTGTTAAGTGTAAACCAGTTCACTTGTCATTACTGAGCTTTTTTCTTTTTCTTTTCTTTTTTTTTTTTTTGAGGCGGAGTCTCCCTCTGTTGCCTGGGCTGGAGTTCAATGGCGTGATCTTGGCTCGTTGCAACCTCCACCTCCCGCGTTCAACAGGTTCAAGTGATCCTCCTGCCTCAGCTTCCCAAGTAGTTGGGATTACAGCTCCCACCACCACACCCGGCTAATTTTTGTATTTTGATTAGAGACGAGGTTTCACCATGTTGGTCAGGCTGGTCTCGAAATCCTGACTTCAGGTGATCCACCTGCCTTGGCTTCCCAAAGTGCTGGGATTATAGGTGTGAGCCACCGCGCCTGGCCTACTGAGCTTTTCTTACTCAGTCGTCAGTTTTCTTACTCAGTCATCAGTTCAGATCAGCAAGGACAAATAAGACTTTAAAGTAATAATCTAGTTAAGGTCACATTAATTATGATCAGAGGTAGAATAAGAAAAGGTCAAATGGCATAAAGTATCCAAGGAGTCAAAATATCTCTTTAAGGTTTGCAAGGGAGGAAAAAGTTGGGTCTTAGATTTCAACAGGCACAACAGGAACAGTGTGTGTCCAGGAATGGAAAGGAAATATCATGAGCAATGCCATGAGAGTAGGAAAGCACAGGGCAGGTGAAAGGAATAGTAGATTGTCTGGCTTGGTTTAACCGGATTTTTTAGTATGGTGGTTTGGTTGTTTCTAATGCACCCAGGGAATAATGAGTGCCTATGGAGCACATGCTTTGGGTAACCATTTATCTGAGTAACTAGTGTTAACTGTCTTGGCTGGAAGTGGAGGGGTGTTCCAGGTCTGGCAAGGCCTCTATATTGTTCATGTCTAAGAACTCTTAACATTATCAATGTAATTTAGACTGCTGGATGATTTTTTTAGGGAGGGGGATTGGATTGGAGATAAAAAAGAGCCAACCTATCTTTATATGGTGGCACACAGCTTCCAGCAGAAAGAAAAAATAATTTACTAGTGGGAAACCGTTTTTGGGCCACCTTGCCCAACAGGAAACCATTTTTGAAACCTCCCAAACACCTGATTATTTGATAGTGTTTTTATATTTAAATACTGCCTTTTTTTGTGTGATCTCAGGCAGCGTGAGGGTTAATAGCATCTTATAACTTGAAACTTTGAAAGATAATTATATATTCTGATTATACATACTTTGCTTGTTTTCTAATATTGAGCTGTCTATTTGATTAAGGCCATTTAACAGCAATTAGAATAACCTGCCAACTAAAGAAGAACTTTTTATTTCACAATTTAACGGGTGCTAGTTACTTAATTCCAAGTTGGGATTATTTATATCATACATATTACATGTCTTATGTGTATATACATATTTAGCATTAATGATAAAATGCCGTAGATGAGAATGAGTGTTTTTCTCCCCGATTATATTTGTTTTTAAATCATGAATGAATCCAGTGAGTTGCAAGGAAAGTTTTGCTAAAAGCATATGCATATTTTTGTCTATGGAGACTCATAGCTTTTAAAGCTTCAGAGGGACTCTAGGAGATTTGCTTTAACCCTTGGGGTTTAGATACATGAATTGCTATGCAGGAGTCATGATCAAGTAAGTGACAAAGTTGGGCTCCAAGCCCAAACATGTTTCATCTAGTTCAGTGCTCTTTCCACTATGCAGTACTACCTCTCTGGTTTCCAATGGCTGGAAACTTCTTAAGATAATCATATTTCATACAGCTAGGCCCTCACAGAAGTAATTAGATATTGGAGTAATTAAATATTAGATACTGGCTCAGACACTTCCATAGGTCCAGAGTTACCCCCAAAGATGTTTTCAACTCCCTGGGCCTGGTGCTGTTTTGACCAGCAGCATATTTTCAGAAGCCACTCAGATAAGCAGGATTCTCCCCAGCAGCTTCTGATGATGTGAGCTCATAGTACTAACAGCATTCATCTAAAGATACTGATAACCAACCCTTTGTTGTTTTTTGAAATCCATCTATCACTGTGTGTGTGTTTTGGGGGGTGGAGGCACTGGGAATTTTGGATCTCTGTGAGGATGCCAAAACATCTGTTCCCTTTATGTTTGTTAGGATGTGATTAGAGTGCTAAATCAAAACGTGGAATAAGAACAAAATAATTCATTACAACCATCCCTAAGACTTTTCATTTTGATGCTCTAATATAAAAAGCATTACTTTGAAATTTTTGTAGGGATTTAGTAATAGAGATTTCTTATAAGTATTAAAGTAAATTATAGAATAAAAAGCAAAAGACTAGCAGCTTTTCCTCCCGTATTTACTACTTTACTTTGCATTTAAATAACTTTCAGAAGATGACATTCTTTTATTGTGTGCTTCAAACTTATAAAGGCTGCTTATATTAATTTCTGGATTTACACTGTTCTTTGAAAATGGCCTCAACTTATATTTTATAATCAAGACTGAGATGTTGCTGGTTTTGATAAGCTAGTTTCATCATTTTTATTTTAACCAGGTAGGTTGGCTGAGGTGGTTAATAGAAGAAATGGAAGGTGCCAAGTGTTACTGTGAACTGACAGTGATAAGAGATGGGAAATCAGATTTGTGGATTTTGTGAAAGTGTTAATCAAAATTGGATTAAGGAATGAATTGTGGCGTTGGAATGTGAAGCATAGTGGAAATGCTGTGAGCTTCTTGCATGGAACATCCAGTTTCTTCATCTTCTCCAAATCCTTCCTCCTAGGATATTTGTTTACCTTTTATGATCGCCAAATTTATTAGACATGTATGTTGTCTCTGTTATAGAGTTTATGGATTTTTTTTAAATTAGGATGGTTAAAATTTCCTTTTTTTTCTGTGCATTTCTTGGGATATTTCCCAAAGATTATATGCCTATTTTATCTTTTCCCCTCACTTTACAGTCTTTGCTAAATAAATTGAAGCTAATAGCTTTAAGTGGAAGAGTAGCAGTGGAAAATAGTTTTAGAACACAGGGAAATATTTGGTAATTAAATTTCGATTTCTTATCTATTCTTAAAAAAATTTCAAGATATGTTATTTAGCTCTTGGGGATGTCTTACTATGTGAATATTTTGTAAATTGATTCAATCAATACTTTCATTGCTATTTTCCATATGTGATGTGAACATAGAACTGGGATTATAATATGGTGCTCCTCTGCTATGATATTCCTAGTATTATGCCAAATGAGTCTCCCCTTCACCTGAACTGAGTTTCAATGTTAGGTATTTAGTAATAAATGAATGACTTCAACCAGTGATGAAATAGGAAGATACAAGTATCTCTAACACGTTTATGAAAGGTGAAGCTGAGAACCAGAGTGGTTTATTATCTAAGGCATGCGACTGTAAGTTTGTGGAACTAGTGCCAGCTGGAATCCAGGGATTCCAATTCTTAATTTAGGTCTCTTTCCATTATGCTCTGCAGATGTGAAGAATTGATGCTTGGGTGGAACACTCAGGTTCCTCTTATTAGCCTGCCTTTTATTTTTTGATTACCTGTGTAATTATTTGCTTATTCTCTGGCTTCATTGAATCTCTCTGGTTATGATTCATTCATGTCTTTGTAATAAAATTCTCGATTTGAAATTTGGAGGTCATTTTTATAAAGTAGAAAATACTAGTTGCAAATAATTTTAGTTAAATGATGTTAAAAGCATGAGAAGCATTTGTCACTGTGACAATTGACACCAGTTGGTTGCATGGCATAATGGAAAGGGGCTCAATTTTAAAATGAAATAACTCTTTTAACTTATTGCCAGTATAACCTTCAGAGATTAACATAGCTGGGCTTAAATTTGTTGAAAACGTTGTTTTTTTTTTTTTTTTAAAAAAAAAACTACCCCACCTTGCCTTTTTTCCTTAAACTATTTATTGTATATGTATTTAATAAAATGGTCTTTACGTTTGTTCCTTTTTTAGAATATGAACTTAGGCAAGAATCATCTTGTTTGCTGGTGCTGCGTGTATCATAGTCTTATGTTTGTACATGTGAATATATTTGAAGATAATAAATTTGGGTCCTTTTGGGAGACATTTAGGTATGTGCAGTGGTTTAGCTAGATCTCTGGATTATTTACACTTGAATCAGTTCAGTGAGAAGAAAGCCTTGCTATAGCTTCACTAAGTAACTTTAACTTTTTATGAAAAAAAGATTCACATAAACATCTGTGTGTGTATATCTCATCCAAACCCATTAAATTTCAGCAAATCCTCAAGAGATAACATAATGAAGGACCTCTTTTTTTTTTTTTTCAAATAAATAGGCATATAATGAGCTGGACAGTGGTTGGGTGGAAAATAGAAGATAGTAGGTTTAAGTTTTAATTTTCTGGTTTGTTAAACTGTGACAAGTATAATAGAAATTAATTATAACACAATTATTTGTACAGTCATAATTTTTCTTTGGGAAAAAATATGACTAACATTGCCTTTTTCTTATCTACCAGAAAGAATGTTGAGCTATACTTAGATTAAATTTGTTTGCATAATATACACATTTATGCGAAGTTGGGCTAATAAAAGTTAGAACTACTGACTTGTAGAGGAGTACCTTTATTTGGGTATGATTGCTGAGTTGCAGCCCAGAACTTTTTGGGATTTTTGCTTTGCCTTGTTCTTGGAAAAGGTTTTTAGTCTTTTCTTGACCCTGTGCATTAGTATTGGCTTTCGTCATATGTGTATGGTGTAAGAGGTATGTCAGGTATAATTTTGTGCTAAAAATAAACCAAGTGTATTAGTCTGTTCTCACGCTGCTAATAAAGGCACATCCAAGACTGGGTCATTTATAAACGATAGAGGTTTAATTGACTCACAGTTCCACATGACTGGGGAGGCCTTACAGTCATGGCGGGAGGCAAATGAGGATTAACGTCTCATCTTACCTGTTGCTGGCAAGAGGGCTTGTGCAGAGGAACTCTCACTTACAAAACCATCAGATCTCATGAGACTTATTCACTATCATGAGAACAGTATGGGGAAAACCGCCCCGCCCTTGACACATGGGGATTATTACAACTCAAGGTGAGATTTGGGTGGGGACAGACACAACCAAACCATATCACTAAGGGAAAACATTAAGACTGGCTCATTGTAAGGGTAGCGATTATAGAAGTAAATGTGAGAGATTACCCAAAATTGTTTTTCACAGCTGCAAAGTACTCTTTTGTATGTATGAATAATGTTCTACCAATCTCCTGTGTTTGGACATTTAAATATATTTCAGTGTTTTGCAATTACAAATAATCCTTTAATAAATAACATGGTGCATATGTATTTTCACATTGTTTGAGGTATACCTTCAGTATAAATTCCTAGAAGTAGAATTGCTAGGTTGAAGAAAAAATACACACGTAGGTTTTGTTAGATCGTGACAAATTCCCCTCCTTGGGATTGTACTATTTTGCATCAGCAATGTATGAGAGTGCCTGTTTCATCACAGCCTTGCCAACAGAGCATATATGATGTCAAAGATAAAGCCAGATACTAAAGTGTTGAGGACAGGTTTTAATCAGAAGATATTATTGTAATAGGGAAAAGAGTCCAGTGTGAACTGATTCAACTTTGATTTATACAATGGTGACTGGGCATTTTTTAAAGGGAAAATGAGGGAAGGGGTTGAGCAGGGGCTTAGTGGAGTCAGAAAAGTGAACATTTACTAGTGAGAAGGGAGTCGGTCCACGTGAAACCCATTTGTGTTTGCTAACTGATGTTTATGGTGGTTAGTCTCCTACCCTCTCACAGAGACTGGGGGACAGGGGCCCTATCTTCAGATGTTGGAACAAACAGTACATTTTTTTTTTCAAGTACATTGGCAGCCTTGAGTTTTTTCAGGCCGGCATTGTAAGGTGGGGCTGAAGTCATCCTAGGGATGTGGCTTGAGCCATTAGAAACTCTGTTAGGTGTTTCATCCAAGTTTTTTTTAGGCCGTGGTTAAGAAGATAGCTCAGAGGAGCCTGACTAGAGTTTGGTTAAGGAGAGAATCTTTGTCAGTGGTCAACTTTAAGATTGAGATTGGTGAGAATCTTTGAGATTGGTGAGAATTTGCATCTTATTGTAGTTTTAACTTACATTTGTCCTATTACAAGTAAAACTACACATGCTTTTCTGTGTTGAAGGGCCATTTTTGTATCTCTGTTTATGAAGTGTGTTCATGTGCATTTTTTCTCATTTTTTTGATAGGAGTTTTAGTCTTTTTTTCCCCAAACTTTTAAGAATTCTATATAAATGTGGAATATCAGCTCTTTATTGTGAATATATGTTGTGAATATTTTACAGAGTTGTCATTTGTCTTTTGACCTCACATATGGTGTTTTTTGCTATACAAATTGTACTTATATTTTTATATAGTAAAATCAAATGTTACTTTTATTACTTGTAAATTTTGTGTTGTAATTAGAAAGTCTTTTTCTATATCAATGTTAGAGAGAAATTGATTCATGTTTTCTTCTAGTATAGTTTTATTTTTGACATTTAAATCTCTTATTCATTTGGAGTTTATTCTTACGTATTCTGGAGGAATATGTCTAATTTTATGTTTTTCCAGCTAACTATACAATTTTCCCAAAACTATTTGTAAAGAAAACACTATCTTCATCTAAGTGATGTGCGATGCCATCTTTATCATATACCAGATTTGTATATGAGACCAGATCTTTTTCTGTACTTTTTTATTGCTATCTCAGTAAATTTATAAATTAAGGAAAATTGACATCTTGATGATGTTGAGACATCCTAACCAAGAATAAGGGATTTCTTTCCATTTGTTCAAGTCTATTTTTATGTCTCTTGGGAGTGTTTCATGGTTTTCTTCTTGGTTTTCAATCATTTCTTATTAAATTCCTAAAAATTCTCTCTTGTTATTATAAATGAGGGTTTCTCATTCAGTGTCTCTTCTAAATGTTTATTTGTATACAAATGCCATTGGTTTGGGCATGTACATTTTACAACTTGCTACTTTGCTGAATTCTTTTATTGTTTGAATTAGTTTTATTATTGGTTCTCTAGGAATTTCTGGGCATATTTTTATGTCATTAGCGGATATAAATAGTTTCATTTTTTCTTGTCCTATTCTTTTGCCTCTGTTTTCTGTAATCTAATTGCATTAGCTTGTACTTCTGAATCATTGTTAAATACCAGCCCATATGCTGTGAATCAAACAAAGAAATTATTGAATTAGCAGGTGTTCTCATAAATAGCAGTGTAAACAGTTAAACAGTAGTGGAGATAATGGGCATCTTTTTTTTTTTTTTTTGTGACCACAGGGGTTGTGCCTTAGAGTTTTCTCATATTAAGGAAATACCTATTCATTCTTATTTCCTCATATGTTTTTGTTAGGAGTGGGTTTTGAATTTTCTTAAAGCCCACTTTGAGAAATTTTTTTTGATCAGCACCTATTGAGATAATCATTTGATTTTTCTCCTTAGACCTATTAATAGAGCAAATTATATTAATAGATTTTGTAAGATTAAGCCATTCTAGCATTCTTGGCATAAACCCCACAGTCTTAATTTCAAAGATTTGATATACTTACATGGAAGTGTAGTAAATCATGTAAGCTAGTATTTTTATTACTTGCCAAATGAATGTTTTGGTGAATGAGTTTAGAGGGAGAGATCATTATGGGAAGAAAAAGCCTTTTGAAAGAGCAAGGACCACTACCAACTGTGACATCATGAGCATCAACCACACACCATGGCAATACTTGCCATAGCTTATTTCTACTAGCTGTTTATCTTGGGGAGTTTACTTACACCAGAGTCTTCAACTTTCAATATTTCATCAGCATAAGTTGTAGTCGATTGATCACAAACTAAATAAATGCTAGAAAATCTCAAATGATGGAGCAATTGCTGCATTATGACAAATGGGAAGCCTGCAAAATAGAATAAAATAAAAGGGCAGAATGGCAAATTGGTTGTTTTTACAAAGGGAAGCAAAATTCATGCACTTCCATTAAGGAGAGTATTTGAGTTCATATATTGTTTCATAGCCTTGTTTATGTTAGAAGTTATTTTAAAATGTTATTGTCAGATATAGAATATCTATTCCATACGATTTTAAAAATTTAGAGATTGTCAAAGATGTTTACTTAATTTACACAAATGAAATGACAGAATTGTAAATCCAACCTTCTTTTTGCAAGAAGGCCTGAGGTCCAGGCTATGTAAAGCTGTATTTGCATGTTTAGGATCATGTCTTTCAAAAAATGCATTTGGGGATGTTTACACTGCTATTTATGGGACCAGTTGCTAATTCAGTAATTTCTTTATGGTTCTGTAACTACAGATTGATTCACAGCATATGGGCTGATATTCTTAATGTGTACGAAAAAGCCATGTTGAGATGGGAATTATTTAAAAATTTTTTTTCTCCCCATTGAATTTTCTCTTTAGATATGTCAGTTGAAGAAATTTTCTTGGTTATTTCTAATTTTTGAATATATTTGATTAATAACCTATTTTATTATAACTGTTAGAGTAAACATAATAATTTGAAAGTTGTCTCTTATCATTTTCTTTAGCATGTTACACCAGACAGCTATATTCCATGCCTTGCAGACCTGTGCAAAGCACTATGGGAAGTTATGCTCAGCTATTATAGGACTATGGAATGGCATGAAAAGCATGACAATGAGGATACTGCTTCAGCTTCTGGTAGGAAAATATTTTTATTTTATTTTAAAAATTGAACTATAAATATCCCACATTACTGGAGTAAGAAGAAAGGAAAGGGGCAGGAATGCCTTTGGGATTTCAAAGATTACAGTGACCATAGGCTAAATATTGAGCAAAGAAAGTGATTCAGCTACTTCAAATGTTCTATTACCTTTAGAGAGTAACTGGGCCAAAGGACTTTTTAAGTGGCACATAGTACTAGTTTCCAGAAGTGTGTGCTGATGGCTTTAGGACTGAATTTATAAATTTTTGTTGTTGTTAATATTATTAGTTGCAAACTAGATAAGACATTGGTCTGTCTAAGTTTACTGTGAAATTAATGCTAGATGGTCAATATTAATCTATTTAGCCAATTTTCAAGTTACAGTAATAAAGCTAGGTTCTAAGAATTAATTATATTGATACTTTCCTTCCTGAAAATGAAGCAAGACTAGAATTTCATTTTCAAAATGATGTTTTAAAATATTCATCTTTGAATGGAAAATATAACTTTAAATGACTGTGGTACAGTCAGCTAAATAATAAAGAATACGTCTTTGAAAAATTATTGTATTTATTAATCATTCTATTTAAATTGCTTCATTTGTATAATTATATATCTTAACTGATTATCCTTGAACAGTAGCTGAGATTGAATATTCAGAATACTTATAAAAACAGTAAATGATTTTATCAGCATTTTGTTTAATATGGATAAAATAAATTATACTGCACATCTTTTTTTTTGTATTATATACAATTTATTGTAGCTATTCAATCAAGTTACTTTAATAAACTTCCAGTTTCTGAGGGGCTTATTTTCTGTTGTTGGGTGAGTGGACAACACACCCAAATCTCACTGTTTGATTAAATGTTTTGGTAGTTTAGAAGGCATAGGTTTAATCTTTGTCTTGACTTACAAGAAGCTTGTAAATATAGAAAACAAAATAAGAGGAAAATTCCATGAATGGATTTTTATCCATTTGGAAATATTGTTGGGGAGAGTAAAGGAAGGGAGAGAAAGGCAGAGAGAAGGTTGGGCACACAGCCAGGATTCCAGGTCAGACTACTTTTACCCAAAACTTATACTTTTACCCTGTACTACCCCTGGGACCATGAGCTCTGCGATCTGAGAGGCCTGGCTTCAAGTTTTCACTTCTATTTACCAAAGGTGAGAACTTGAAGACACTGCTTATTTTTCCCATTCTTCAGTTTGCTCCTAAAATTGGTCAGTTAAAAAGCAAAGCAAAACCAAACCAAACCCTTAGAGTAGTAACGCATCTACCCTGCAGGGTTGTTGTAAAGTTTGGACAGCATGTAAGGTACTTATATTGGTGGTGGTTAATATGATGAAATGAAATGGATCAAGAGATAATATAATAATAGTGAAATACCTGGAGACTGTTAAGACATATTTGCTTTTCTAGTACATTATTTAAGGAGAAACCAAAGAAAACGTTTGGAATAGAATTAACACATATTTTAGATATCAGAATTTAGGTGACAGTTATGTATATATTCATCATGGTAAAGCTTGCTTTTTGCTTTAGGCCAATAGTTTACATTCGTTGGAATACTGAGTCAAAGTGAAAACTCTATCTGATCCTTATTACTCAACCCTCTTTGCCTAATCTGTATATTTTATGGATATTCAAGTGCTCAAGCTGTCAGCTGATAGTATCTAGGACTATAAAAAGTTACTTGTTCACCTGAAATTAATCCTTTTATATTCAGGAATAAAATTGTAGAAATTAGTAAATTGAAAATTACTTTTCATGGAACTTCATAAAACTGAAGAGGACTCTAGACTTTATCTGCTGTATCTCTTTAGTGATAATATTTGATACTGTTTGGTAACCTAATACTTTAACGTTCTAAGGTAAAGCTCTAAAGCTATAGTTCAGGTGCACTGCCTTAGGCTGCTGGATCCCTAACAGCCATACCATGGGTGTAATAATAAGGCTTACGTTTTAGGAGTGCTCAGAGGCAAACTTGTCATGCATCTGTGTATCTGAGGCCTGGCATTTCCAAGGACCTTTTACTGGTTATCAGTGGATAACTTCCCAACCTAAGACAAGATGATAACATACTCACTTAGTTGTTCTTCACAGGATATTCACACAAAAGTTTCATCTTTTTAATATAAATGTGTATGTGTCTTTTTCAGTTGTCTTTAGGGCGGAGATTGGAGGCAGATCACTGATCTTATCTATTAAACTAGACATTGTTAAATTATTTATCTGGAGTGGATAAAACTATTATTTATCATGAAAAATATAAAATATATGCATTATCACCTCACGCCTGAGTTTTAATGTAGACTATCCTCTTAGCACGCATATTAATTGATAATTCAGTTAATTGGTCCTGTAATGCCCTTCTCACAGCCTTTTACATGGTCTTGCAGTAGGCAGTATTGAGAACCTGGTCTCTGGGACCACACTGACTCAGGTAGAATCCCAACTCAGTCACATATGATCTCAGTGGTCTTAGGTATATTTAGCATTTCATAGTCTACGTTTATTTGTCTCACCAAATGGGTTTAAGTCTAATACCTATTGTTTGATATTGTTTTGATTGTATAAATATCAAACATATTTACTGTATCTTACATAGACTTACAATGTGTGAGAGGCCAAATAGAAATTATTTGGAAAACAAACACAAATTGGATTAAATCTAAAAATATATATTGTCTTTTATTTTCAGAAGGGAGTAATATGATAGGTACTGAAGAAACTAATTTTGATCGTGGCTACATAAAAAAGAAATTAGAACATGGACTTACACGAATATGGCAGGTTTGGTTTTTTTAAAATTATTTTTTTCACAGAAGCAATAGAAATGTCATGTCATAGTTTTAGAAATTCAGTTTTAAGTTTTCTATATATGTATTCTTTGCAGATTTAATCATATGTTTCTGTTTGGAATTAGGCTATCATTTAATTTCTGTAATGTATTTGGACTATAAGTGGCAGGAAAAAAGTTTTTTAATTTGAAAATCTCCACTGGAAATATTCATACATGTCTTGAGTACATCTTTTGTTTTAGAGGCCTAGCAAATTTCCACTATCATAGAGAAATGTATGCTTTCTCAGTGAGATGTTCTGTTTATTATTTCATTTATCTGTGTTTTCTTAATTTTTTTTTCTGTTAATTTTAGAAAAGGAGTAACTAAGTAGATAGCATACTTAGGTCAGATTATAGTTTAGAATGAATAATTCTTTTTTTCTCAGTCAATGATCTTTGTACCTTGAGGGAATCTTACATGCTTATTGGCTGAATATATCTGGTTTTAGTCCATTTGGGCTCCTATAACAAAATATTCTAGACTGCATAGTTTATAAACAGAGAAGTTTATTTCTTAGAATTCTAAAGGCTGGAAGTCAGAGATCAGGGTGCCAGCATTGTTGGGAGGGAGGGCCTGCTTCCTGGTTCATAGACATTGTCTTGCTGTATCCTCAAATAGTGGAAGGGATGAAGGAGCTCTCTGGGGTCCCTTCTATAGGGGAACTAATCTAATTAATGAGGGCTCTACCTTCACGATTTAATCATCTCACAAAGGCCCCACCTTCTAATATATTATCACCTTGGAGGTTAGAATTTCAGCTTCGGAATTTTGGGTAGACATGAACATTCAGACCATAGCAGTATCTTATTAAGTTTTTCTTTACAATTTAGTAACTCAGTTGTTGTAATCAGATAATTTGTTACTTCTTAGATCACAGTGTAATTTCTTTGAAGATAACTTACTCTTTTTGGACTTCTTTGAACCTTGGAAGACTATAGACCCTTTGGCCATGTTATGGTCTTTTAAAATGTATTTTTGATTTTTCTAATGAGGCTGATCTTTATTTTGACCATCTTTTTTTTTCTTTCTTTCTTTTGATTGATTGATTGATTGATTGAGACAGGGTCTCACTCTGTCACCCAGGCTGGAGTGTGGTGGCAGAGTCATGGCCCAGTGCAGCCTCGACCTCTTGGGCTCAGGTGATCCTTCTGCCTCAGCCTCCTGAGTAGCTGGGACCACAGATGTGCACCACCATGCCTAATTTTCTTAAATTATTATTGGTGGATATGGGGTCTTGCTATGTTGCCCAGACTGGTCTTGAACTCCTGGGCCCAAGTGATATTCCTGCCTTGGCCTCCCAAAGTGCTGGGATTACAGGCATCAGCCACCATGCCCAGCTTGACCATCTTTTATAGGATATGTTTTGAAAAAAATTGTTTAGGAAAATATATTTTGAAAACATAAATTTCTTCATGAATCAGTTAATATTTATAATTTAGTGCTCTTCTAATTTTTGATAATTTTGTATTCGATATGCTATTTGATTTTATGCTTTAGTATTTAAAATTTATTTTTGTGGTTGTAAGAGGTTTGACATATATTTTCTCATTTGTCTATATTAAACTCATAACCATATTAAACATTTATTAAAATTAAATATTTAATTTATCATTAATTGTGGATTTAGGCTGACTGTTTTCTGAGTATTATGCATAAAAAGAAAGGAAAATCTTATAGTTATTGAATATACACCCAGGATCAGATATGATTTGTTTCTGACTTAGTCTCCCAATAGGCCTTAAGTGTACTTTGGTAAAATTTTACAATCTATGATAGAATTTCTGGTAATTCAGTGTACTTTGAAATACTGACTTAGCACTTTATGTAGCTACTTTCCATTCAGTTTGGCAACCTGATGGCATTCCTGGTATAGGAAATGGGATTGTCTCTATTACATCCCTTAAGGATGTTGGCTATTGGCCTAAATAGATATTCGTTAACAAATTAGGAATATATTCCTGTCTCATTTTAATCTGGAACTATAGAGTAAATGCTTCTGATAACTTATTTTCTATATTTTGGGTTTGCTTGATTTTCTTTTTCTTTGCCTTACAGGATGTTCAGCTAAAAGTAAAAACCTACTTGCTTGGAACTGATTTGTCTATATTCAAATATGATGATTTCATCTTTGTTTTGGATATAATCAGCAGGTAGTATTTAAGATCTTGTCTTATTCTTTAGTTTGAGTCATTCAACCATGATAAATCATGAGCTAGTGAGTTATCATCTATAACTTCTTTATGGAAATGAAGATAATTTTTGCTGCTAAGTTTGTGAGTGTATTTAAATATTTCTGCCCTTTGGGTGTTTGTAAACCTTTATGGATTTGTGATCTTTAGAATTTTTTCACATGTCCAAATTTTAGTGATTTTTTTTATCTTTGAAGAAAGAGAAACCACACTTCTTTTTCTCTATAAGGCTGCTGCTGAAATTTACTGAAACCTTTTTATCCAACTAGGTTGATGCAAGTTGGAGAAGAATTTTGTGGTAGCAAGTCTGAAGTTTTACAGGAATCTATTAGAAAACAAAGTGTCAATTATTTCAAGAATTACCATAGGTAAGAACTCTAATAAGATATGAATCGACTTATTTAGGTAATGAGAATACTTTTGTCTAATACTTAATCTTATAGCATTAATTGATTTTAAACAATTACTTTTGAATTTGAATGTGTTGTAGCTTTTTTAAGATGGTTAAGGATTTTTTTAACCAAAATATGATGAAATGTTCTCATTACATATTCATTGTACATTTTAATATATTTTTGTCTTGAGGGGCTTAAAATATTGAACTGATTTTTTAATGAGTAAAACATGATTATTATATCAAGGTTCACAGAAAGAATTTGGCCACTGTTCCATACCTGCATACATATGGGTGTGCTTATAAGGAAGTTAAATCAGTAGAGGCAGTGCTCAGTGAGGGGGTGCTTGAGAGTATCTATCTTTTAAATGTAAGAAGGATTCTAGAGGAGAGGATGTGATATTCAGAATTCCCCTATAAATCCAAATTTGTATACTGCATTGCTTTGCAAAACAATCACTGCTAATATTTAAAAGAGTGACTAGGAATGGTTTGGGTAGTGGAGGAAGGTGGGAAAGAATGTTTATAATAGCAGTGTGATTATATCCTTACAGCAGCAATAAATTGAGGGAAGGGAGAGCTAACATGAGATTTCTCTTGATATAAGCTAGACCCCAAGTTGTATCCCTTTTGTCCTTTGAGTTGAGTTTCATCTTACTTTTTATTCTGAACTTTTACTTTTTACAATTGAATTTAAGTTTTGATTTCCTTGTTATTTGGTCCCAGAGAGAGTCATGATTTGAAATTCTGCTTTTTCTCCTTGTTCATAGTCAACACCTGCTCACAGTGATATATGCCATGTCAAAAGAGAGATGACTGAACACCAAACCATTGATTAATTAATTATTATATATATTTGAATACAAGTTATCTCTGTTAATTGTAAACAATGAAGTAAATTGTTTGAAAAAGATTTAAATTGAACTATACTAAAGCAGAGCCTTTGAGTTTCATGACTGAGAATGTTTAAAAATTTTTTAAAAATTTAATTGACTAAACCTCAGGGAAACAGTGGGAAGGGACCAACAGGAAGCCCTAACACTGCCTTTATTTATAAGTTCCTTGTCTGCTAAAACTTAAGCCCTGACTAAAACAAAAGGCTGGCCCTATAAACATTCCTGTATAGAAGTGGGAGGGGCCTGTTAATCATGGATGGGGAAATAAAATGGAAGCACAAAGGAGCCGGAAGCCTCACTTTCCCTGCAGTATGAAGGCATGCCAAATGTCTCTCTTCCCAGAGATTGCTTTGTATCCAACATGACAACTGGGAGAACTTTTGGTGTTCCTGGTGTCTAGGATGTGTGTACAATATAGAGACACTGATTTATTTAGTAGCTTCCATTCTGCATTCTGTTTTACTTATTGTCAAAAGGTGTCTGTCATCTGTAGCAACTAGCTAGGGGCATTTTGACCATGATGGAAATTCCTCACAGAGTTCACATTAATAAAATTAGAAAATACAGAAATGAATGACTTAAATCTTCCTCAAACACTCAACATTTTAAATAACTTCTCTTAGAAACATTTGTGAAACTTATTTCTCATTGATGTGGCTGTGCTATATTATTAGAAGGAAAGCTGGGTTGAGTAATAGTAGACTTGGGTTCTTGTCGCATTTTTTGCTGCTTACCAACTGTCTGGTATTGGCAAATCCTTTAACCTCTCTGGCCTGTGATTTTATGCATTGTAAAATGAAGTGGCCAGATTAAAAGGTCTCCATAAGTGTTGCCTAGACATCTTGACCCGTTTTTTTGCAGTATTGTATATTGTAAAAATTGGGGCAGGTTAAACAGCAAAAATTTAATTATTACTTAGTATTCTTCTTTTTCCCTAGTATTTAAACAAAAGTTTAAGGTAGTCTAGTTTCTATCCTGTCTGTAGTCATTTTCGCTCTGACAGTTGCCATCAGGAAAATTATAGTGGAAGTCATTTGGTAAAGTTGGTGCAAACCATCAATGTGTTCTAAGGTATATTTGTTTCTTTACAAAACAAGATAAACTTGAACAGAAACTTTAGAAATGATACTAGTGTCCATACATTGAATTGACTAAAGTCATTACATTAGCCAGTGATGAATCTAAATCTGCAAAATCCCAATTTAATATCCCCTTTGCCAGTCATTCTACATAAATACTGAAAAACTGTATGAAACATGGTGAAATATAGATCAAGTATGTTCTTATTTTGCTAATAGAAGTGTTTAAATGTGCATACAGTTTGGTTCATGGTCCTCTCCTGCCAAATATAGCTCTTGAGAATGAAGAAATTCTTGAACCAAATTATTCTGACTTTCAATCTATTTAAGCTATTGGTTTGAATTTATAGGGATAATAAAAAGGTAAAAATAGGAGCAGTTTTGTTTTGGTGGAACATCTACTTATGAAATGTATTAATGTTAGTTGTGGTAGTTGTATGAAAGTTTGCATTCCACTCTCTTTTTCTAGGATAAAACTGTATGAACACATGAGGGAACACAGCGTCTATTATTGATTGTTTCTACTTCTCAAAAGTATAAGTTTTATTTCCCATTTTTTAAAATATTCAGGTACTAAGTTTATATACACCCAAAGAACATCGTTCTGTCAGATGCTGGAGAACTTCTAAAAGCACAAATATTCTAATTTAAACAATAATGACATAAAAATTAGAGAGCAATATATAATTGTCAAAATATTGTTTAATAAGTACATTTTATTTTGTAATTGCTCTAGTAATCAAAGCTTATAAAATGTTTTCAAGGATCTTAAAGTGGCATTGACTGGTGTTAGAAGAGAGAAGTCACCTATCTTTTTAGAAGAAAATGCAACAAATTAGATGAAATAAACAAATTCCTTATAAAGCCAAACTTAATGAGCTGACAAAACAAAACATAGAAAATGTGAATTTTGAAGAAATTATATGTCTTTTGAAGAAATGTCTTTGAAGAAATTATATTTGGGCTTCAAAACATTTCCATTAAGAAATCTCCAGGCCTGCTGATGTCACTGGTAAATTCTACCAAACATTTAAGGAGAAAACAATACCAATACAACTCTTTCATAGAATAGAGAAACAGGGAATGTTTTATAACTTATTTTATGAGGCCAGCATAGCATTGATACCAAAACATAACAAGAGGACATTATAAAAGGAAAATGACAGACTAGTCATTTTCTCAAGAACATAGATGCAAAATCCTACACAAAATATTGGCAAATTTAATTCAGTGATACCTAAAAAGGATAATATGCTATGAACAGGTAGGATTTATTATAGGAGAGCCAGAGTTGGCTAAACATTAAGAAAAATTAAGAAATTTAATTTAGCAATTGACAGAATACAGGAAAATATCACGTTATTACTTTAATAGAGAAAATAATTTTGATAAAAATTCTACCCCAGCTCATGATTTTGAGAAATTGTGTTTTTGTGTAATTTTAACTTTCTTTCTAATTATGTTCTTATATTTAAAGTGTGCCCTTTGTTAACAGCTTATCAAGTTTGGTCTCGTTTTGCTGTTGTTGATGTTGTTTTACTAACTGAGAAAAATATATATAATATAAAAAGTAAAAATATATATGATTGATCAAAAAAATGCAGAAAGAGAAAATTTCTTTAAAATATTTAACATTTTTAGATATCACACAGCAATATGATGGGTTTAAACCTATTAATAATTATGCCAACAAATACATTAAATGTAAATGGAAAAACAGTTCTATCAAAACATAAAAATTGTCAGATAAGATTTTAAAACAACATTAGGGGCCGGGCACAATGGTTCACGCCTATAATCCCAGCACTTTGGGAGGCCAAGGTGAGTGGATCACGAGGTCAAGAGTTCAAGACCAGCCTGGCCAAGATAGTGAAACTCAGTCTCTACTAGAAATACAAAAAAATTACCCGGGCGTGGTGGCGGGTGCCTGTAATCCCAGCTACTCAGGAGGCCGAGGCAGGAGAATTACATGAACCTGTGCGGCAGAGGTTGCAGTGAGCCAAGATCGCGCCACTGCACTCCAGCCTGAGTGACAGAGTGAGACTCTGTCTTGAAAAAAAAAAAAAAAGAAATACGTTGTTGTAATGGTTACCACCAACATTTCAATATGCACTTATGTTCTACTGTAGTCTATTTTAGGTAGTATACTTCCAGAATAATGCAGGAACCAACTTTGTAACTGCGTTTACCTTCTCTTACCTTTTTGGTGTTGTCATATACTTTTACTTCATATATTATTTTCTATACATTTTTTATGCCTAGGGTTGACTGCGCTTCTTCAATCTGGTACCTTTTATCACTGTATTAGTTTTAAATTACTGTGTAATAAATACCACAAACCTGTCTGGAAGAGACAGGAAGCAGATTATCCCCTAGGGCCTCCAGAGAGTGGAGCTCTGCTAACACCTTGATTTCAACCCACTGATACTGATTTTCAGGCTCTGGCCTCTAGAACTGTGAGAGAATAAATTTTTGCTTGTTTAAGTCACCTAGTTTGTGGTAATTTGTTATAGCAGCCATAGGAAACTAATATAGAGTAGAATTACTGGATCCTATGGTAACGCTCTCTGTTTAACATTTTGAAGGAACTGTCACACTTTTTTCCAAAGTCATGATACATTTTACATTCCTACTAATACTGTATGAGGGTTCCAATTTCTCCAAAACCTTGTCAACACCTGTTGTTTTCTGTCTCTGATTATGGCTGTCCTAGTAGGCATGAAGTGGTATCTTATTATGTTTTGGGTTTGCATTTCCTTGATGACTAATGATGTTTAGCATCGTTTAAGGTGCTCATTGGCCTTTTGTGTTTCTTCTTTACAGAAATGTTTGTTCAAAGCTTTTGTCCATTTTGAATTGGGTTATTTGTTTTCTGTTGTTGAGTTGTCAAGTTTTCTACTTTTAGTTCTTACCTTAGGATTGTGATCCACTTGAGGTAATTTTTGTATGTGGTATGAGCTATGAGCACAGTCACTTTTGGGAATTCTTGGCCATTATGTCTTCAAATATTGCTTTTGCTTGTTCTCTGTCCTTTCTATCCAATTGCCTGCATAATAAATGTTTTGACTATCTCACATCTCTCTTATGATCTTTTCTGTTTCTTCCTTTTTTTTTTTCAAATTTTTGCTTCAGTTTAGATATTTTCTATTGATCTGTCTTTGAGTTCATGAATCCTGTCTTCAGCCACCTCTAGACTGCTGTTTTACTTATCCAATCATTTTTTAATTGGAAGTATATTTTTCAGTTCTCAAATGTCTATTTGATTCTTTTATTGTTTTTCTTATTGCAGTTATTTGAAATTCTCTTTTCTATCCATTTTATACATTTTTTTCTATTTTATTTAACTTATAATAATTATCTTAAAGTCCTTGTCTGTTAACTCTAGTATTTGGAGCAATTCCTGATTTTTACGGATTCATGTATTTATTGTCTCTTTATTTTGAACCTGTGGATTTTAAAAAATCTAGATTTTGTTTTTAGCATGGTAGTAACAACTTGTGGTAGAAAGAGGAAGAACAGGGTAGGCACTGGCCCTTTTGTCAACTGAAAATAAGGGTTTGTTTTTCTGGGACTGCCTATATCATGTGCTGATTACTCAGGATAGACAGTAAGAATAATAGCATTAAAGAAAGAAAAGAGATCAGTATGGTGTAAGTGATTAGTGTAATGTCAAGTATATACGTGTCTTAGCTGCTAATTTAATTTGTAAATGCTATATAGAGACAGGCACTGAGCTAAACATTTTCAGAAAGTGATAATTATCTTGCTATTGTGGCTTCACTAGGTATGGTTCAGACCTGTGCTGTTTAACATAATATGTTGGTATTTATGATCTCATATAATCTGTAAATTTTTTCTTGATGTTTTAGCATCAATATATAATCAGCTAAGGATATTTTAAGTATGTGAGTTGGAGACAAGCTTTTAATTTAGTCCTCTAATAAAACTGTCATTTCCTATGCATTACTTTTGCAATATAGTAAAAATACTTAGTTTAGTAAACATTTGAGAGAGTTTTTCTCTCAAGGATGATAAGATATTAACTAATAAAAGTAAACATTTCTGTTTACTGTGTTAATCAGAATGGGTTCTCAAAGTTGATTATGATCATGACAATAATCCTATAATTATTTGTATTGTACATTATTTCCTCAATTCTTGTGTGCGGTGTACTTTTCTTCTCACTTTTTGGAGTGTTCATTTTCTTTTTTTAAGAACACGGCTCGATGAACTGAGAATGTTCTTAGAGAATGAGACTTGGGAACTTTGTCCTGTTAAGTCAAATTTCAGCATCTTGCAACTTCATGTAAGTGTTTCTTAAGAACAAAGAAATCTGTCTTTTAGTAATGTATTTTACCCTTTTTTTTGAAAAAAAAAATCCAGAAATATATGAAAACATTTATAAAATAAATTAAGGAGCAGTTTCTTATCTTCCTTCCTTGAAAGTCATTAGTAGCCAGCCTCTTTTTAAAGGAATGATCCTTTTATGGTTGCGAAAAATCAGTCTTACAAAATTCAGTTTACATACTTTAGGAAATCTCTTTTGCCTAAAAAGAGTTACAGTTAAAATGATATTTTTTGTTTGTTTTGAATTCAGAAAAGGGTGACTGCTGTATTTAAGTTTTGCAGATAATCAATTAGCTATATTTTGGCATAGTTTAATACAAATGCTTATTTATATTTGTAGAATATTTTTCATTTCTTAAAGGGACTAGTAGGTTCCTAATTTGTGCTGCAATTCTTAAATTTGCCTGTAATGAAAAAATGCCTCAGAAATAAAAGAGGCACTTATAAAAAATACTCTTAACTAATTTGTATTAGTTAATCAATTCCTGGAATACTTACAGAATAAGCAGTCTTTGAAAAAGTCTTTAATTGGTTTGATTTTTCCCTTGGTTGAAACACATTGTAGATAAATATTCTTGTGTGAAAGATTGTGTTCTGGAAATATCAAGTGTCAAAATGCAGTGCATATAGTTAGATCCTTGTTCAGAAAGTATGGTGTGTTTAGTTTCTGCCTTTGGAAGGAGTGGCTTTCTAGAAAGCAATTTTCTTATTCTGGATAAATGTAAAGAATACATAATTACAAGTTTTTTTTTGATAGGGATTGTCTTTATGCTCATATTGTATAATAGCTTCTTATCCAGTTTTATTATATTGTTTTCCTATTATAGAAATATTAAAAACCCTGGAACATAGCAATTAATAAATGCTTTAAAGACAGCAAAATTAATGTTAATGTTAATTAGTATTAACATAAGCATTAACATTAAATTAACATAGGATTTAAGAATTCTCAAAGATTTAAGGTAATTCCTTAACATCATTTAGAATTCTAAGTTTAACATAAATTTTAGAATATCTATTAAATAATTTTATTTGAACTCCTTTTTAACCATCAGACTGTGTGTGTGTGCTGTCACGTTGTCAAACTTAGTATAATTGTAAGACATGTTTTTTAAAAAAGGCATGTTGAAGCATTCCCATCTAGGTGAACATTATCTCCTTTAAAGTAGTTACCTTGAAAACTATTCACAGCTTAGTGTTCACCTGACATGCATTCATGTGGATTTGATTTTCTAAAAATTAGTCTCATTGATGTATATTCACTCCTTATTTAGAATTATAAAAATAATGGCATGATTCTTAGGCATTATAATATATATGATTAAATGTATAGTTGAAATGCAAAAGGAAAATAAACACATATATCATTTAATACAACAAGCCAATGTACCTTTCAAGAATTTTAAGAATACCTTTGAAGAATATCATTGAAAATGAATAAATTTAAATTTGGGATTATTCTGTTTAGATAAAAGAAAAATGTTTGTTAAATTTTGTGATAAATCATTAAATCAAGATTTTTGTAATTCAAAGGAACTTTAGAGATTATTCCAACTTTTCCTCTAATTAGCTGTGTGATGTTGAACTTTGCACTGAATCCCTTCAGACTGCCTCAGTTTCCTCATGTGGTTAATGCATGACTTAGACTGGGTCTTACAACTCTTTAGCTTAGCTAGGAGTAGAAGACACATCATATGACTTTGGCATATATGTTTGTGTTGTCTGTTTCTTGGTATATAGCGAAAAGTAAATGAAAGTTTGTAGGCGTCAATGTAACACAGATATGTACTTCATACTTTATTTCTGATGTATTTGTACAGAATATCTTAAGTGGTGCAAGCATATGAAAAAGAGAAGTGTTTAACAATTAGTTTTCATAAATGACTTTATTGATTAGGATTTTTGCTGTTCTGTTAAAATTTTTAGAAGACATCATTCAGATTTCTTAAGCTATTTTAAAAAATGATCTCTGCAGTTTCTTAAAGGAAGCCAAAAGTAGCTTGATGCAGATGATACTGTTTTAAGTGATACCATTCACTGAGTTGTCTTTAGGAAAACCTTTAGATGTGTATTTCCAAGTTTGTGCTTTTAGATAACTTGAAAGATTTAAAAGTCAATAAACTGAAGATCAAGATGTTGTTTTTCTACTAACTCTACATGTATATTGAGGGATTCGGTTTATGTACTAGAATTTTATTGTTGCTAAAGGGTATCTGGCTCCTTTTTTAACATCTAGGAATTTAAATTCATGGAACAGTCTCGCTCCCCATCAGTTTCACCTAGTAAACAGCCAGTCTCAACTTCTTCAAAAACAGTGACCTTGTTTGAGCAGTACTGTAGTGGTGGGAATCCATTTGAAATTCAGGCCAACCACAAAGATGAAGAAACAGAAGATGTCTTAGCTTCTAATGGGGTATGTGGTGTATGTGAAACATAAGTGAGTTTTTTTTATTTAAAACTGTTCTACTCAATGAACAAGGCAATTCACTACATTTACGTATCCATTTACTACCACCCTGCCTGCCTGTATACTTAATGTACCTATGCTATTACATTTATAGATGATGACTTTACAATATGCTTTGTTGACCTTGTCCTCTTGAATAGTAAATTTTCCCTTTATGTTTGCTTTATGTTCTTATTACATGATGTTCTTATCAGGTTGCTAATCAAGTAGTAGTGTAATTTCTTCACTGAATATTTACGTGATATATTATGTGAATATTATGTGATATATTGTGAGATGACGGAATAGATATCATCTACCCTTTTTCTCGACACCCTTTATGGGTCACTGATTCATTTTGTTCCATGTCCCTTTATCTAAGAGAAAGTGGTAATGTCTTGCATAGTTGCCTGGCAGGGATATTTTTTGAGATTTAGAAGTACAATGTTTTAACAACACTTTGAGGACCTCAAAAACAATATTAACTAGACGTAGTGTGAGTTAGTGGAAAGGATTTGAAGGCAAATAATGAATATCATCTTTATTATTTATCAGCTGTGTGGCCCTTGGCAAATTATTTTAACTTTGTGACCCTCAGTTTCTCCATATTTACAGGGAGAGGAATGCTTGCTTCACAGTTCCTGCATGGTGTTTTCACAGTATTTTACTTGACTTAATATTTTGTTTGATGGTTTCTTCTGATCTTCATAATTTCCATAATGACCCAATATGATTTTTATTTTTGATTTGATGAAGCTAAAGTGAAAACCATTCAGATGTGACAAAATATGTTGAAGGATTTGTCTTTATATTTTATGTTAGTTTTAGAATTTATTTTTCATTTGGTGAAGACAAAATTCATTAAGTTTAAATTGTTTCATAGTAAGCCATATTTAAAATTATGATTCAGTGATTCTTTGTGACATTTTGCCTCTGTGAAGTTGGCTTAACCGAGAGGAATTTAAAGTCATTCCAATTATTTTGGAATAATATATCTCTCTATAAAAGTGATTCATTAATTAAAACTTAGATAGCATTTGATTCTCATTATTTGCAGCAGTGTGTTCTATAAAGTTGCTGTGAATACTAAATTAGCAAATACTGAACCATTACTCCCAGAGCAAATATAGGATTAGGTTCCTGTGAGCCTCGGGTTACGACATGTTTATCAGCCCATCAGTACATAATCTGAATTCATAGCCAACAACGCTGTAACTCTTGCCTAAATGAAGCTTATCAGACACACATATTTTGTTTCTCAGGCACATCACAGCCTTCTTGTACTTAGAAACACTAGACAGCACTTCAACGCAACACTTGCAGTGGCATTCTAAACAGTTAAATCACCAACAAAAAGCACAAAAATACAAAGCACTTGGCACTAAATAGGTCAAGAAAAGGAAACTTGTTTATAGTATGAGAGCCTAAGCAAGAAGGCAGAGCATGCCTTGTTTGTATTCAGCTGGGAACATGCATGTTGGATGACTCAAAGTTTTCACTGTTCTGCACGTTTATGACTGACTCCAAAAATATCAGAAGTATTGACTTTAGGGTTACAAATAAATTTCAGTGAGTAGGCAAATTTGCAAACATTGAATCCTCAAATAATGAGTATCTATGATACGGTGTGGTCACAAACCTCTGTTGTTGTAATCAGGACATCCTAGTTTATGTAGAATACCTTTCTGCATAGCATCAGGATCACATTGTGTATAAGTATAAAGGAGTACCTGTAAGGCTTGTTTGCAGTTATTAATGTGTGATCTGATCTTTCCAGGTGCAACTTATGTCCTTGAGAATCAGGGTCCACATTTAAATACGACCTTTCATAGTGCTTTTTATTAACAGACTCTCAAAAAATAGTTGTTGAATTAGGGGGCTAAATTCTTTCCATGTTGTTATCATACTGGTTTCCTCAACTGTCATGTGGAGATAAAACTTCCTCATAGAAGTGTCTGTATGATTAAATGAGATAATTCATGAAAGCACTTAGCATAATACTTGGTTAAAAACTCAGTGTTAGCTATTACTTAATGATATTAATGTTAGCCATTTAATCGTATTAATCTATGACATTAATAGATGATGATGATGATGATGATGATGATGATGATGATGAAAGTGCTGTCACTGCTTCCTTTACTGTGTGCATGAATTCCACTGTCTTTCCCATGCTGGCATTGGGCCATGGTGCCATAAAGATGATGAAAATGTTAGGAAGACACCCTTTGTCTCAAGAGTAAATCCACCATTTTTGTCCTCATTCTCAGCAGGTCCCTGTGTTCTAAGCTTAATTTTCTAAGCTGCCCTCGGAATTAAATTTTATAGTGAATTAGAACATCAGCATGTGTGTTGCATGTGTTTATTAAGCTGAAGTAATACTTCCAGAATGCCAGAATTGGATACTGAACCTCTTTTTAATGAGTTTTATTAGCAAATTGGAAATAAGTATGGTGAAACTTCTGAGAGACTTTAAGAAAAAAAAATGCGAATGTATACTCTTTAGGCCTAGTGGAATGTTTGTTAGGTTTTGGTTTATGGCGATTTGATTTTGTTGCACATTTTCAAGCTTTTATAGGTGTAATATTTTTCTTTTGTGCTGATTGAGGTAGAATGATGAAGACAATGGAAGAATAATTAGATTCTTGGTGACAACATTAAAGCTAAATTAAGAATTTTCTTGTATTTAGCTGTTTCTTATAAAACTGAGTACTTTCACTGTGTTGAGACACCCCACGAAAAGAGGCCCTTTATACTCATTTTTTAATAACCTGTGTTTTCTTCAGTATGAATCTGATGAACAAGAAAAGAGTGCCTATCAAGAGTATGACAGTGACAGTGATGTTCCTGAGGAACTCAAACGAGACTATGTGGATGAGCAGACAGGAGATGGTCCTGTGAAAAGGTGATTGTTCTTAAATTGTGTGGTATTTAGCATTTTATCTTGTGCTCTTAACATATAGGATTTCCTTTAAGGTTAAGAAGAAACAAAAATTATTTTTTTTGGTACTTATAATGTCACCTGACAGAAGTTAGTATGTTTTAAAAAATGATTCCTGGAAGGCTAAAAATGTGTTGTTCCTCTTAACATTTCATAACTGAATTTCAGGAAAACTAAAATAGTTATATGAAAAGTTCTGCCTTGCAAAACCTTTGCTGGTATCTCACAGATCAGTTCATCTAACTGTGAACTGGATTGTTAATGTGTCAAAAAAGAAATTGATTTAGCCATTTAAAAACTTTTAAGTGGCTAGTGTTAATGTAGCTTTCCTTTGAGTTATACAGTTTGTTTGACATTGCTTTTTGTAGCAAGATTCTAGTTCCTTTTTTATGGTATCACAAAGTTAGTGATTTGTTTAAATCTGTTAAAATTACTTTATTATCTTGTTGAAAATATTGGGCATAATCAAAGAGATTAGTTTTTGCAGAGGAAAAAGCCTTTAGATTTATAAAATCAATCCTGCCTTTGGTGGCCATTTATGCTTTACATAGATAAATAAAAATCCTCAAGGAGAAAATGGTCATTTGTTTTGTATGTGGAGTTCTTGCTTCAATCTTATAAACACAGAAAGTCGCCACTTATTTCCCCTATGTCATTTTTGTTCACTATTTGAACCTTCTATCAAGGTGTCCTATTAGTGGTTGAGTTTTGTTTTATGATAAACTGACCTCTTCAAAACTATGATAATTATAAGAGAATTTTTTCTTACCTTTTGCCAGTTAAATGGGCCTGATTCTGGAATGTTAAAATGACTTGATTTCATGACTATCATACATTTAGTGACTATAGATATACTTTTTGCTTAATGATAGATTTCTTAATGATAGATTCTTAATGATAAGTATATTCTTATCGTTTAACCCTAAGCTACCTATTTAATACTGTTTAACTTGAAATCTCGACTGAAATAATTCTGTTTTCAAAAGTGAGCAATTCACGTAGTTGTAGCTATTTTAATTGAAAAAATTTGTTCTATTGGTTTTTGCGTATGTATGATATTAAGTGTCAGCATGATCTACTGTGAACTGAATAGAACTATTTTGTTGGAATTCTTTATTAGATGTGTTTTGGGAATATTTTGGCCAAAAGGAAAGGTCTATTTGAATTGAAATGTACAAGTAAGATAGTGTCTGCCAGTACATGTGTATATACCTCCATTTTTGGTAGGGTTACTGGAGCCCCCTAAACTTTTTACCCTTAAGAAGTTTGAATTGAACAAATTAGTAACTGAAGCCAATAAATTAATAGATATTATCAGTTCTAACTTGTGTCTCTTGAATTGACCAATTTTTCTTGTATTTTACCACTACCATTCTAGTTTATGCCAAAGTTATCTCTGTGCCAGATTATTAAATCAACTCCTTTACCTTGGATTCTTGTCTCTAGGCTTGCCCCATTCCAAACAACTCTTAGATCTAAATTTAGGGGTTTTTTTTTTCATAGTTACAAATTTAATCATGCTGTTTTTCTGCTTAGCTTTTAGTGACTCACCACTGTGTTCAAGATAAGGTTCATATCCCTCAGGTTTGATTGCTTTCAGAGATATCTGGCCTTTACTTGCCTCCTTTCTTGTCACTTTTCCCTCTGTTCACTTCTTCTACATGCGAACGTGGTGAACTCCTTGTACTTTTCTGAGCGCACTCTGTTCTCTCTTATCTCTGACCCTATTTTATGCCGGCCCTTTTTTCTGTGCTGACCATATAGCTTTTACTTTTCTTTTGAACCTTATGCTGCCCCGTAACCCCAAATACTGCCATCAATATTCTGTACTTAATTCACGTTCTTAGGAGGGTATTTTTTCATAAGTTTCTGAAATCAAGAAACAGTACATTTGCACCTAGATGTATTATTATCCTGGAAAATCAGTTTTTTAAAGAGATGTAGCTTTTTTAGTGGTTGATAATGTTTTATAATCGAAGAAATGCATTATGGTACTTTATTTTTTTGCTTACTTATTTCCCTTATGGATTGTAAATTTTATAAGAAGTTAATTTCTATATCTTTACCTAATGCATAGTAAGATTTTCATTAAATAATTAGTTAATAAAGGCTAGGGACCTATCTGACTAACTTATTGGTTTATTACTTGACAACTCTAGCAACTCTGTTTTGTTTTTCCATATCAAGTGTTTCTCGGGAAACTCTAAAAAGCAGGAAGAAATCAGATTACAGTCTAAATAAAGTGAATGCACCTATCTTAACAAATACAACATTGAACGTCATAAGACTTGTTGGTAAGTAGCTACACCTTTAAAAAAAATTATAACAGTTAAATTAGTTTGTTACCGAATGACTTTTACTTGTGGTTTTTATTGTCTTGTATACTCCAGTGCTCTATGCAATGAGGGATTTAAGGTTATCATATGTCAATGCTTCTCATTTTAAATGTTCCAAATACTATAATACTAATAGTAATGCCAGTTTTTCTTTTTCAGTTACCTGTTTATTAAGTCTTTGTATCTTACAATTTTTCTAAAATATTTCAGTTAATTGAAATGCGATGAAAAATTCTCTAGGTAGGTTAGAGGTATGTGTAAGATAAGTTAGTACCAGTTTCACATTTATACAATATTTTTGTACTTAGTTGTTTCATAGGTCTTTACCATCTTCTGTCAGGCAGAGTGAATAGTGACTTTCTGGCATTTTCAGACACAAGGGATTTACAAGCTAAATGTTCAGATTATAGGAAATGTTGTTTTTGTAACAGATAAGACCTTTATTGATGATTTTGTAGAAGGCAAACAATATGAAGAAATGATATTTTAAATATTCAGGTTTTAGGATGATGTGGATTTTTTTAAAATCAGTATTTCAACATCTTGTATGCTTTTAGCCTTTGTATCTCACAAATAAGTCTATGTATTTGACAAATAAGTTATAGAGATGTCTTCTCCTATTAAACTTCATTGTTCCAAGCAGGAATTTTAGTGGTTTTCCATAAAAATCTCTATATTCTATCTATGGAGATGGTATTTACCTATTGCCTAGTTTGATTAACCTTAGCTCTGTTGAAATAGTCTGTGTTCTTTAAGATAATTCTTAAATTTAATTAATGAATAGGATAAAATGTACAGAATGCTTTTTAGGAGTCACGGTTTCTCTAGAAAGAGCAAAAAATATTACTGAATTGAGAAGAACAGAAAGGTATACCTTTTCATGATGCTCAGAAAAAAGGATAGATTCTAAAAAGCTATTCTGTGGCTAATTATTGCCAGGGAGCTAAGCTTTTCTTCTTCTTCCAAGAGAACTGACTGAACATAGTGTCAGAAATAACTCTCGAGAATTTGTAGAATCAGAATTGGGAGAGTGCTGAGTGGTCATTGGTGTAAGTTGCCATGAAGTCGGTTGTCTTTCTGTAATGTCTCTCATACATGGTAGCTGTCTAGCTTCTGTTTCATGACTCCCAGTCATTGGAAACACAGTGGTTTGCAAGACTACTCATTCTATCATTAGACTGATCTCATTAGTAGAAGTATCTTCCCTAAGGTAAACCAAAACCTGTCTCTCTGTGATTCTAGCCTTTGGTTTGTCCTTTTGGTCTAAGAGTTATGCCCTTAGAAGCAAGAAGAATAAGTTCGTGCATTTTTTTCTTCTATTTCTTCTATTCTTCTATTTCTTCTATCTTCTATTTCTTCTATTCTTCTATTTCCTCTATCTTCCATTTCTTCTAATTCTTCTATTCTTCCATGTGATCACTTTTCAGATATGTGGTGGTAGTTATCGTGCTTCCTTTTCTCATACCGACCACCCCACAATCCATTTTTCAGGCTCCATGGGCTCAGTTCCTTTATCTTGTCCTCACTGATAGAAATTCAGACCTTTCAGAATCATTGTCATCCTCCTTAGCCTTCTAGACTCAGCAGTTTTCAATGTCCGAACACATTCCTTGAGATGTAGTCAGCTTTTGCTAGATTATGTTGAAGTAACAAGCAACTGTTGGTGCATCAAGACGTTCAACCACAAAGTTTTATTTTTCACTCGTGATACGCATTGTCTCCTGTTTATATGCAGCTCTGCTCCGTGTGTCTCTTCATTCTAAGATGTAGGTTGAAAGAATAGTACCAACCAATCTGGAACATGGGGAGAAGAGCAAAAGCAAACTATGTTATGACTCCTGAAGCTTCTGCTTCCATGTGTCACCCTTGACTTCCTCTGACATGTCATGGCCAAAGCAAGTCAGGCTTGGCAAAGGGAGGGGAGAAGTATGCTTCTGCCGCAGGAAGCACTGCAAGTCAAGGGAAGTGGGCAGGGCTGTATATTGCTCTTACAGGGAATTGGGAAAAATAATATAATCAAACACATCTAAGCAGTTGTTTATATTTTTTACCTTACCTAGTTCAAAAGGGGCTGGAGGTAGTCATGTTGCTGTTTACGCTGAAGGCATATTTTCATTATAATCAAATAAAATAAAATACAAGGCTAAGACAAAGTTGAAGAGTGGGCACATCATGCTTTATCATATCATATTTAATGCAGACATCAAATACAATGCTTAACTTCTTGGTAGGCATAAGGGAATTGAAGAAACAATATATACCACTATCCTCGTTATCTGAGAAAAAGATACAGGCCTTTATAATAATGGTAGAAATATGTTCCTGGTGCTGAATTCAGATGTTAGTAACAACAAATTTTTGTATGAGGATTACTGATCAACATAGTGGGCCTTGCTTTTGAACAGTGGGTTTGTAGGAACTGAGAAAAGCCACATTCAAGACCCTTTAAAGTAAAGTAAAGTATGGCACAGTCCTGAATAAAGCCTTACTCTGTGAAGAGAATTTGACTATTGCAATTTCAGCTTTCTCCACTACCATATCTTTTACTGGACTTGCAATTAGGAAACAATGCCGAGTATGACAATTTAACTTTTATATCTTCTCATTTAGGACTGGGATTAGGTGCTGCCATTATCACCCCAGTTGGGATCCCCAGTAGACTTTTATGCCTATCATTTTCTCTCTCCCTGGGATGTTTTTATCTTCAGTTTTTAGATATATACAAAACAGAACTTTAAGGAAGCCACTGTCTCAGAGGCCTCTGACTAGCAAATGCACTATTCCATCCGCTGTTGTTATTGCATAGAAGTGCCTGAAGATTATAAACTGGCAGAGGTCATGCTTCTTCCTACAAAGGGAGAAGTACGGTTGTGTAAATAAGACAGATTAATTTTTGGTGCTTGAGAAGATGAAGGAACTAATTATTGAGTATTTGGGAAACCATATTAGAACATTAAAGGCATATTTAAAATGTCCTTTTCAAGTAGTATTTACTTGGCAGATAATTAGCAGAGCGTAAACAAAAGAGTGTTAATGGGGCTTCCTTACCCCAGGTGGTAACTAAATTTATTAGAAAGGCTCAGGGAGGCTTTGCACTAGTGGAGAGGACTGATCAGAACAGTTGCTTGTATTATATAAAGAGAAAATTCTGTCATCCTGATGGTTTCTTGCAGACAGTGAAAGAGAAATTTTAGGAAATGTGTCTCATCAGTGAAATAGCCTTGGTATTCACGGTTCTCTCTCCTGGAAGCAGCTTGTGAGCAGGTGTGATAGGTCTGAGGAGCAGGAGCTAGATTACCGAAGTCCATGCTTGTAAGAACTGCCGACAACAACAAAATTACCACTTTAGTAGCTAGAAAAAATATACCCTAGCACCCTAGCACATGCATCAGTATTTAAAATGAAACTAGGATATGTGCATCTAAGGGATATTTAGGTATAATGTGCCTGAGATGCAGCTTATGTGGTGGAGAGAACACAGGCATGGGAGACAAGAGATCCACTCCTTCATTAGGACATTCTTTTCATTGGGGGAAGGTCAAATACTAGATGACAGACTGCTGAAGTTTCTCAGCAGTTTAGTTTGCTGGCATATTCTTTATCATTGAGCATTTTAAATTGAAAGGTGATGCATAAAAATGGTTAAAAATTAAAATACCCCAAGGTATAAGCAGAGCCCCTGAGCTGCAAGTCTCCTTCCTCAGACAAAACGACTCAGTTTCTCCTGTTTTCTTCTGGAAACATTAGTGTTAGTACAAATATATTTAATACGTATATCTCCTCTCTCCTATTTTTTTTTGTTGTTGTTTTGTTTCAAAAATTGGATTACACTATTTATACTGTTTTTTATCTGGATTTTTTACTTAAAATATCTTAAGGTTACACTTAAAATATCTTAATGTATTACCTATCTTAGTATGTGTGGATTTCATTCTTTTTTCCTATTGTATAGATGTAATATTATAAGTGCCACAATTTATACATCTTCTACTTTTCAACATATAGGTTAAGTCATTTCATACTACAAACTGCCACAGCAAGTATCCTTGAAGAAATATCTTTGTGTATATACAGATAGAGCTATAGAACAAATTCCTATAAATACTTCCTCTCGCTGGATCAAAGAGTATATACATTTCCAGTTTTGATGGACATTCTCAATTTACCAATGAGGTTACTAACGAGCTTACTAAAAGAGTTCTGTTAAATTACTCATTCATTAGCAGTATTTGAGGGTAGCTCTTTTCTTAGTCTCAGCAACACTGTGTATCCTCCAGCTTTGGGTACTTGCTAGTCTGATAGGTTAAACATGGCATCTCATTCAAAAATGTATTTAATTATGAGTGAATTGAAGCATCTTTTCATATGCTTAAAAGACATTTCTATTTACTTGCGAACTACTTATTCATATCCACTGCTCATTTTTATATAATAAGGAAATTATAGGTTTTAATTTCAACATTAAGGAAATCAGTTCTTTTTTTGCCATGTATATTGCATTCATTAGTTTTAGTCCACCAGATTTTTTTTTTTTTTTTGAGTCACTACTTTGTTTCTGGCTAGCTGTTGGAGTTACAGTCATGAAGAAACCATAGTCTTTGTACTTTGTACTTAAGGAGTTCAACAAGGGAAATAAATACAAAATAAAAAAATTTACAGTGTGTTGTTATAAGCATAAATAAACAGAAAAGAGGCAAGAGAAAGAATGATGATTAATTTTCCTTTTTGGGTAGGAAGTGAAAGGACTGACTCACTATGGGGGCTGACACCCTAATTGAGTTTGAAAGATGAATAGGTTCTCATAGATGAAGTTGGTAAAGGCATTTTGGACAGAAAGAACATGTGCAAGACATGGTGTATTCAGAGACTCCAGTTGTCTAGTTTGCTGGAATGTAAGAAACATGACGGGGCCTGGAGGCAGAAGCAGAGGAGATGTGACGAGAAAGATGGGCAAGAACAGGATATGAGAAGGCCTCAAAGACTGTCCTATGCAGCTTGGACATAAGCTCCTTAAGGGATTTCTAACAGGGGAGAGACCCCAGCAGATTTGCTGTTTTTAAAAAAAGTGTAAATAAGGGATTGACTTTGGCTAAGGGGAAACTGGAGAAGGTCAAAGACTGGATGGCAGACTGTCGAAGTCTCCCAGGCAAGGGATGATGAGGACATAAGCCTGGATATGGATGGCAGTGGCCATTGTAATATAGAGAAGAAGATGGATTAGAGAGATTTTAGAAATACAACAGACAGAATTGGTGAATCAGTGATGAGCGATCACTCAGATTTTAGGTTTGTGTGATTAACCAGTTATAATGCCAGAAATGAAAAAGGGAAGATGAGAGGAAGACCAAGTTTTCCGAGCTGATGGTAGGGTAGACTTTGGACATATAGAGGTACCTCTGGGACATTTAAGTAGAAATAGTCTATAGGTAGTTACATAGATGGATGTGGAGGTCAGGAGAAAAAACATGATCAGGATACATAATTTGAGTCATTGTTTTAAAATGACTAGGAAGGACTAGGACTTCTGTCTGATTTTCTATGAACTCAAAAGGTTAGTGGATGAGTTTATCTTGGCAGAGGCTCTTAACAATTTGAGTTCATAGAAAACCAGACAGAAGCTCTACTATCCTTCCTACCCACTTAGTACACACAAAAACATGCAACACAAGATAGCTGAGTGGAAACCTAGGAAACAGCAGTGGATATGGATACACTGGAAGGGCAAACAGCAAGATCAGTCAGTGAAGAAGGTCATGAATCAACAGCAGAAAGGCAGGAGGAAAATTAGGAGGTGAAGCAGAGGTCTTGAAAACCAAGGCATGAGGGCCTATCAAGAAGAAAGAAGGACTGTGCTTTATTGCTTTATTCATCTTTTATGGTGATCTAGCCTTTGATTTTTAAATTTTGGCATGCGTCAGTATCACCTAGAGGGCTTGTTAAAACACAGATTGCTGGCCAGGTTTGGTGGCTCATACCTGTAATCCCAGCACTTTGGGAGGCCAAGACAGATGGATCACTTAAGGTCAGGAGTTCAAGAGCAGCCTGGCCAACATAGCAAAACCTTGTCTCTACTAAAAATACAAAAGTTAGCCAGATGTGGTGGGGCACTCCTGTAATCCCAGCTACTTGGGAGGCTGAGGCATGAGAACCCAGGAGGCAGAGGTTGCAGCAAGCCAAGGTTGCAGCAAGCTGAGATCGCACCACTGCATTCCAGCCTGGGTGACAGGGCAAGACTCTGTCTCAAATAAACAAACAAACAAAACACCGATTGCTGTCCCCCACTCCCAGAGTATCTGATTCAGTAGGTCTAGGGTATAACCTGAAAACGGGCACCTTTAACAAGTTTCCAGGTAATGTTGATGCAGCTTGTCTAGGGACCACACTTTGAGAACCATTGGTTCCTTTCTGTTATTTTCCTAATTGAAATGTAAAACAATGTGTATTTAACAGGAAAATTCTTGATTACATAACAGATAATTAAAATAGTAGCTTCTTTTGTTTTTTTGAATAAGTTGTTTTTAAAGTATCCTTGTTTCGGATACTTGGATAAAGTTATAGAGTTCATTGAAGTCATAAGTGCAGTCTTACAGAAGTATCACAATACTTTCTTATGTGTTTTGAAATTTTAAAACCATGTTTTATGATTAAGTTATCGTTTAAGAAAAAAATATTTTCATATGTAATGTTTAAGGAAAAAAAGTTTGTCATTCACTTTAAACTACATTCTAGTATTTCTGTTTATAATCATATAATAATGATATATTATATAATACATACTATATGTTATCTATATACTAATAGGATAATACTATGAGATAACATATATTTAGATATTATTTACATGAATTTATATTTTTAACATTTAAAAATATTTTCTGAGTTGCTAGCTTTATGTACAGCCTGATCTTTTGAGAGGATAATCCCAAAAGCACCATCCCTCAGTACATGTCACAAGAAAACAACATTGGAGATTTGGGGGGCTGAGATATAATATTTAAAAAATAAACCTGGTAGCCAGGCACTTAGGTAATGGACTTGTTGATTTTTTACTCTGGTCTTCACTTCATTATTCAGTACCTTTTTCTGAATTGCCCAAGCTGAACCAACTTTCCTTTACGCCTCTTTTATAGCTTTTCCAGTTTGTCTTATGTGCTATTATGGCTTTATATGCCATTTATATTCATTGATGGTGTCTCAAATTAGTGTACTGAAATAAAATAATGAATATTCTTCCAACTCAGAATCTATTCCTGCTTGTGTCCCATCAGATTATAAACCCCTATAGAAGAGAGCCTTAAATCATTTTTGTAGCATCTATATGTGGCACCTGGCCAAGTGCTTTTTACTTTTGTAGGAACCCAATAGATGTTGGACTGACAAACCTTAATTTTTAAAAATCTTCAATATAGGAGAAACTCATTTTCTCTCTTGTCATATCCACAATGGAAAAAATTTCTCCCCCATGTTTCCAGCATTTTTATGGAACTCCTACACTCTTTTACAAATGACACTGTACAAACAAACAACATCGGTTCTCTTTTCTAGGAGTTTCAATTTAAAATAATTTCTTTGAAAATGTGTAAGTTTAATAGAGTAAAATAAAATATATTTAAGAAAATATTTATTTTTATAAGCTTATTCATATATAGCAAAAGTAGAAAAGCAAGAGGAAAAATGATACACACAAGGTACGGCCCATTCCCCTGAATCCTAGCCCTGTGAAATCTTGGGTCAGAGGCCAAGAACATTTCTTTATCACTGTATCATTCAAGAGCTCAATATCCACAAGGTGCAAAGAACATATCTTTCTCATTCCTTTTTTTGGAAGATGCCAATATCCTATTCCTTTTCCTCTGAATATATAATCAGATATAGTCACAGAAAAAAAACACAGTAAATTAAACTTCTGCATTTACAAACTTGCTAATGTATTTGAAGGGTTCAAGTGTGGGAACCACACTTCTCTCTGTGTCTCCCACTGATGAATTGGCTAAGGCAGGCCCACTGTTCGTTCTCTTGTTTCTAGTTCTTGTCCATGCTGCTACTTGGTTTCTTGGCCAGTCCCTCTGTGTATCTCTTCCCTATGGTCTAGTTATTTCCCAGAAAAGGCTGATGAGAAGTAAATGTTTGAATTCGTGTCAGTCTGAAAATGTCTTTTTTTTTTCTCTTTCACTTGAATGACAATTTAGCTATGAATAGACTTGTAGATTAAAAATTATTTTCTTCAGAACTGGAACTTCTAGCATTCTATTCTGTTGCAGATGAATTTCTCTCTCTTTGAAAACTTTTAATATTTGTTTCCTTGATCCAGAATTTTATGTTGATGTGTCTAGCTATGATTTCATTTTCAATGTGTTTGATAGTATGTGGACTCTTTTGATCTGAAGGCTCCTGTGTTCCTCAACTATTACTGACACTAGTATTTCTTTGATAATTTCCACCTCTGTATTTTCTCTGTTCTCTCTTTTTAAAACAATTTCCTCCATTACTCAAATTGGTCCTTTATATCTATTTTCTCAAATGTTTCCCACAGTATTGTCTTTTGCTGTACCTTTTAGGAGACTTAATTTAACTTTTTATTTTAAATATTATATTTTTACTTTTAAGAAGTCTTTTATATTCTTTTTTGGATAATCTTTTATTACTGAGAAATTTAATTATTATATTTCTTTTTAGCTTGAATTATTCTGTTTCTTTTGGGATCAACTTTTCATTTTCACACTCTGAGTTTTCTTTGTGTGCCTGGTGATTTTTGATTAGCTATTTAGATTTAAAATAGAAGGCTTACAAGCCATTGTGGGTTTCTTGTGAGTAATTAGAACTATGTTCGAGCTGGCTCTTTCTCTTCAGTAGAAATTCGGACTCGGAACTTTGTGTGAAATATAGGAAAGGGCTTGGGTAGATTTACTGGCAGTCTTTATGGGGACTGATTCTCTAAATCCCAGAATAAGGTAGAAGCCTTAGCTTTTCAATTTTTTATTTTTTTTTAAGTTCGTTTGCCCCCCGTCTTTTTTTTTTTTCAGTTTATCATTTCTTTTTTTCTTTTTCTTTTTTTTTTTAGACGGAGTCTCACTCTGTTGCCTAGGCTGGAGTACAGTGGCGCATCTCCACTCACTGCAAGCTCCGCCTCCCGGGTTCAAGCCATTCTCCTGCCTCAGCCTCCCGCGTAGCTGGGACTACAGGCGCCCGCCACCACGCCCGGCTAATTTTTTGTATTTTCTTTTTTTTAGTAGAGACGGGGTTTCACCGTGTTAGCGGGGATGGTCTCTATCTATCTCCTGACCTCGTGATCCGCCCGCCTCGGCCTCCCAAAGTGCTGGGATTACAGGCATGAACCACCGCTCCCAGCTTATCATTTCTTTTAGAGAGGAACCTTAAGGGTTTCTATTTTGTTTTATGGGTAAATTCTAGCAGCCTACACCTCTAACTGCTGGAGAGGAGAGGGGAATGGTGGTGGTGGGGAATGCAGACTGTTACAGTTTGTCCCATATGTGAACCTGTAGCTTGATCGTTTTTCAGCCCCGTTTCTGACTCCTGCAGTTCCAGCTTGATTCTAAGTAGTTACTGTCCTAGTGAATAGCTTCCACCTCCTTTTTGGCCCTCTTATGGTTTTATTGGCTTATGTTTTTCCATCAACGTGTTCCCATCTACTGTCTGTCATCTACAACAGACGTTTTGAGATGTCAAATGTTTTGAGCTGCTGGCTGCTTGTTTTTGTAAATAAAGTTTTATTGGCACACCCATGCTCATTTGTTTGCATATTGTCTGTCTGTAGCTGCTTTTGTGCTACAGTGGCATAGTTGAGCAGTTGAAACAGAAGACAGCAGAGCAGAATTGTTGCCACAGAGACTGTGCGGTATGCAAAGCCTAAACTATCTACTCTTGGGTCCTTTACAGGAAAAGTTTGCCAACCTCTGGTCTAGAAATGTTTTGACATTTTTCATTTTCTTGTGCTCAAACCTACCAGCCTCGCCTTCTCACCCTCTTCTCTTCATAGATAAGGAATTAATTCATTGTAATGTTCTCTTTTAATTCAGTAAGATCTGAGGAGGCATATAAGCCTCCTCAAGCCTCCAAACGTCTGCTGTCTGCCTGTTCTGTCCTCTTGAACTGGAAAGACAGAGTCCTCATTCTTATACTCTGTAATATACTGATGATCTGCTTATTGATTATTGTCTTCCATGTATGACTTTTAAGGTGCAACAGCCGGGACTCTGTGTAATTCCTTGTTCCTTAATACAAGGCCAAGTATATAGTAAGCCTTCAAAACGCGTTTGTTGAATGAATAAATTAATATCCTTATGTTTGAATTTTCTTTTCAAGGTGGTGAGGAACAGCTATTTTTTTCTTCTGAATACACATTTAAAATCGCCTTTACCTATTAATAATCGATTTTTATATCCTTTTTCAAGATTAGGTATATAAACGATGGTTAATCTTTTCGGGAATGGAGAGGACCTCGTGTTCTAGATGCATGCCAGCCTACTTATTTGCATTCTACCTCATTCTACTTATTCATCTTTGTTTTTTTGTTTTTAACTGAGTAATGTAGTATATTATTTTTTCTTCACAGTGTTGCATTATTTTATATGTTAACAAGTAGTAGCTTAAGTAACCGTATGTTTTGTAGCTGAGGAAATACCTGCATAATGATCCAGAGTGTTTTAGGAGCAGTATATTTCAATTATTTTTCAAATGTGATTTTTCAAAAAAAGTCTGTGTGAAATAATTGCAAAGGATGATTGTGAAACAGAAGAATTTTAAAATAGGAATAAGAATAAATCTGAGTTGAGTAGTTTTTACTGTGTTTTGATGTATATTTGTATTTGTGTTTCTCTTCTTGACCATCTATTATTTAAAATCATTTCTCACATAAATTAAGAAAGACGTACTGAGTTCTTAAATGGTTTTGATAGTAGACATTTCCTTTGGAGTACATTTGTCATTTCTTGTACTGCAGTAAATGTGTTTTGAGTCATGATGTCTTTAATAGTACCAATTTAGGCCGGGCGCGGTGGCTCACGCCTGTAATCCCAGCACTTTGGGAGGCCGAGGCGGGCGGATCACGAGGTCAGGAGATCGAGACCATCCTGGCTAACACGGTGAAACCCCGTCTCTACTAAAAATACAAAAAAATTAGCCGGGCGTGGTAGCGGGCGCCTGTAGTCCCAGCTACTCGGGAGGCTGAGGCAGGAGAATGGCGTGAACCTGGGAGGCGGAGCTTGCAGTGAGCCGAGATCGCGCCACTGCACTCCAGCCTGGGCGACAGAGCGAGACTCCGTCTCAAAAAAAAAAAAAAAAAAAAAAATAGTACCAATTTAAAATTATAGCAGTTAAGATGAAGTAGAGCCAGCACCTGAATTATTGGCTTATTTGGAAATTAAGCAAATGGCCTGTTTTAAGATCTTCTGTAGAAGAAAGTATAGAGCATTTTTTAATAGATATGCTTCTTTTCCTCTTATTTCCCACAAAAAAGAGACAGAACTGGGGACTTGCAGTTATTTGTTATTTGATTCTTCCCATCCCTCTTGAACCCTTCCAATACATTAGCAAGTTTGTAAATGCAGAAGTTTAATTCATTGTGTTTTTTGTTTTTCTGTGAGTATATCTGATTATATATTTAGAGGAAAAGGAATGGGATATTGGCATCTTCCAAAAGAAGGAATGAGAAAGATATGTTCTTTGTACCCTGTGGATATTGAGCTCTTGAATGATACAGTGATAAAGAAATGTTCTTGGCCTCTGACCCAAGATTTCACAGGGCTAGGATTCAGGGCAATGGGCAGTATCTTGCATGTATCATTTTTCTTCTTGCTTTTCTACTTTTGCTATATATGTATAAGCTTATGAAAAATAAATATTTTCTTAAATATATTTTATTTTCCTCTATTAAACTTACACATTTTCAAAGAAATTATTTTAAATGGAAACTCCTAGAAAAGAGAACCAATGTTGTTTGTTTGTACAGTGTCAGTTGTAGAAGAGTGTAGGAGTTCCATAAAAATTTGGGAAACAGTAAAATGTAGTAAGAGGAAAATATCATTGTATTATTTATATTAGTACTCTCCAATATAACTTTCCAAGATGATAGAACTGTTCATAATCTGTGCTGTCCCATGCAATAGCCATTAGCCACATGAAACTACTGAGTACTTGAGACATGGCTACTGTGAGGGAGTGCAATGTTTCATTATATTTAAATATTTTAGTATAATAATTTTATTTTCTTTTTATAATTATAGACTAACAGATTTTAATTTTGTTCTGCTTAATTTTTTATTCTTTTTTCTTTTCAGGAAAATATATGCAGATGATGAACATTCTTAAGCCAATTGCCTTTGATGTTATTCATTTCATGTCTCAACTATTTGATTATTACTTGTATGCAATATATACCTTTTTTGGTCGGAATGATTCAGTAAGTCCACCTTTAGAGGGAAAAAAATCTTTCTTTTAAAATTTATTTTATAAATGTCAAAGTTTTTCATTCTCTCTATAGAAGATACACAAATAACATTATTTTGGGGATTATGCATCAAAAACAAAATTATTGATATCAGCCTTCTGTCTGCCTTATTGCCTTACTTTTATATTAATTTTAAGCTTTGGTATGATAAACACATTCAAATTTTTGGCAGAAAAAGTGCAACATCTGTTTCTAACCTTGACATATTTTGGCAATGAAAAATGTGCAGGTTGCTTTTTTTAAATCTGGCTCCATCTAAAATATAAAACAGTAAATGAGACATTTTAAATGCTGGCTAACAACCTTAGCAGTCACTAGTATATTTATAAGATAATGATGTATAAGAATGCTTGTGATTTTTGTACATTGATTTTGTATCCTGAGACTTTGCTTAAGGATATTTTGGGCTGAGACAATGGGGTTTTCTAGATATACAATCATGTCATCTGCAAACAGGGACAATTTGACTTGCTCTTTTCCTAATTGAATACCCTTTATTTCCTTCTCCTGCCTAATTGCCCTGGCCAGAACTTCCAACACTATGTTGAATAGGAGTGGTGAGAGAGGGCATCCCTATCTTGTGCCAGTTTTCAAAGGGAATGCTTCCAGTTTTTGCCCATTAAGTATGATATTGGCTGTGGGTTTGTCATAGATAGCTCTTATTATTTTGAGATACATCCCGTGAATACCTAATTTATTGAGAGTTTTTAGCATGAAGAGTTGTTGAATTTTGTCAAAGGCCTTTTCTGCATCTATTGAGATAATCGTGGTTTTTGTCTTTGGTTCTGTTTATATGCTGGATTACATTTATTGATTTGCGTATATTGAACCAGCCTTGCAAAATCACAAGCATTCTTATACACCAATAACAGTCAAACAGAGAGCCAAATCATGAGTGAACTCCCATTCACAATTGCTTCAAAGAGAATAAAATACCTAGGAATCCAACTTACAAGGGATGTGAAGGACCTCTTCAAGGAGAACTACAAACCACTGCTCAATGAAATAAAAGAGGATACAAAGAAATGGAAAAACATTCCATGCTCATGGGTAGGAAGAATCAATATCGTGAAAATGGCCATACTTCCCAAGGTGTAATTTATAGATTCAATGCCATCCCCATCAAGCTGCCAATGACTTTCTTCACAGAATTGGAAAAAACTACTTTAAAGTTCATATGGAACCAAAAAAGAGCCTGCATCGCCAAGTCAATCCTAAGCCAAAAGAACAAAGCTGGAGGCATCACACTACCTGACTTCAAACTATACTACAAGGCTACAGTAACCAAAACAGCATGGTACTGGTACCAAAACAGAGATATAGATCAATGGAACAGAACAGAGCCCACAGAAAAAACGCCGCATATCTACAACTATCTGATCTTTGACAAACCTGAGAAAAACAAGCAATGGGGAAAGGATTCCCTATTTAATAAATGGTGCTTGGAAAACTGGCTAGCCATATGTAGAAAGCTGAAACTGGATCCCTTCCTTACACCTTGTATATACAAAAATTAATTCAAGATGGATTAAAGACTTAAATGTTAGACCTAAAACCATAAAAACCCTAGAAGAAAACCTAGGCATTACCATTCAGGACATAGGCATGGGCAAGGACTTCATGTCTAAAACACCAAAAGCAATGGCAACAAAAGCCAAAGTTGACAAATGGGATCTAATTAAACTAAAGAGCTTCTGCACAGCAAAAGAAACTACCATCAGAGTGAACAGGCAACCTACAAAATGGGAGAAAATTTTCACAACCTACTCATCTGACAAAGGGCTAATATCCAGAATCTACAATGAACTCAAACAAGTTTGCAAGAAAAAAACAACCCCATCAAAAAGTGGGCAAAGGATATAAATAGACACTTCTCAAAAGAAGACATTTATGCAGCCAAAAAACACATGAAAAAATGCTCACCATCACTGGACATCAGAGAAATGCAAATCAAAACCACAATGAGATACCATCTCACACCAGTTAGAATGGCAATCATTAAAAAGTCAGGAAACAACAGGTGCTGGAGAGGATGTGGAGAAATAGGAACACTTTTACACTGTTGGTGGGACTGTAAACTAGTTCAACCCTTGTGGAAGTCAGTGTGGCGATTCCTCAGGGATCTAGAACTAGAAATACCATTTGACCCAGCCATCCCATTACTGGGTATATACCCAAAGGACTATAAATCATGCTGCTATAAAGACACATGCACACGTATGTTTATTGTGGCACTATTCACAATGGCAAAGACTTGGAACCAAGCCAAATGTCCAACAATGATAGACTGGATCAAGAAAATGTGGCACATATACACCATAGAATACTATGCAGCCATAAAAAATGATGAGTTCATGTCCTTTGTAGGGACATGGATGAAATTGGAAATCATCATTCTCAGTAAACTATCACAAGGACAAAAAACCAAACACTGCATATTCTCACTCATAGGTGGGAATTGAACAATGAGAACACATGGACACAGGAAGGGGAACATCACACTCTGGGGACTGTTGTGGGGTGGGGGGAGGGGGGAGGGATAGCATTAGGAGATATACCTAATGCTAAATGACGAGTTAATGGGTGCAGCACACCAGCATGGCACATGTATACATATGTAACTAACCTGCACATTATGCACATGTACCCTAAAACTTAAAGTATAATAATAATAAAAAAAAAATAAAATAAAATAAAATAATACAGTATTGAAACCCAGAAAAAAAAATAAAAAATAATGAAAAATATTTATTAAAATAATTGAAAATCTGAACTGAGCCATCTACCTGCCGTAGAATTAATGTTTTTCTGCACCTCCTTTCTGTGTTTCCAAAGCTCTTATTGAGTATATCTTTTTCTGCTACTCACAGAAAATAACACAATATTAGGCAGGTAACTAATTTGATACTTTAAAATTAATTATGTGGTTTGCATAGATGTTTGACAGTTTTCTGTGTAAAAACATTCCATTGAGTCCTATGAATATAATACTACTTATGTTTCATATCTTTTTAAAAATGTAAATTTCAATGTATAACTACATTCATTATATAAATATTTATATCCTTGCTGTGATCACAAGTATGTCAAAGACATAATCATTTTATATAGGACCTGAATTTCCTGGGTTCTTAATTCTGAAAAATATTACTTAGAAAGAATGCTAATATGACCAGTGACAAAATGTTGCTACAGAATTTATATACTATAAAGTATGTATTAATTCATCACCCTGAATTTGGAAACTCACTAAATAAATATTGAGGAAGACATTGTAGAGTTTTAGCTAATTGTCAGAATGTTTTAGTCTTGTAGGTGAGCCTTACTTTGTCTTTTGGGCCATGCCTCTAGACCAGTCCTAAGAAATTTCACAATAGTGGAAACGTTCTATATTAGCAATGTCTGGTATGGTAACCACTAGCCACACATGGCTGTTGAGCGCTTGAAATATGTATGACTAATGACTTAGGAACTGTATTCTTAATTGTATCCAATTTTAGTTAATTTAATCTTTAAATATAAATAGCCACGTGTGACTACTATCATATGGGACAGAACAGTTCCAGACCACATTATTGATAAGATGTGTTAAAATAAATAAGATCTTTCTGAAACTTTTGGGAACCAAATGGTTTTGGGCATGATTTCCCAGCTCATTATATACTGACACAGAATTTTTTCAGAATGGCATTTACTAGTACCCCAGAAATTTAGCAAAGTATAGTTAGGTACTTATTGTAAAATATATTGCATATTTGATTTAAGGTTTGTTATGAACACACTAATCTGATATTTTATATTTAAACCATTTTCAATTCTGTAAGACTCAGTAAGAGCTATTTAATTATACTGAAACAAAGAAAATCTATAAATAAATAGCACAAATAGGCACATGCGGGTGTATAATACTGAAGTGGTAGTTTTTAATTTCCGAAGAGAATAAGCTTTTCAGGCCCATTAGAAATCACAGAATTTTTCATACTCATAAAAATAAATAAATACTCCAAATTTACCCCATTAGCTGTTGAATGTTTGTTAGTGGTACCGGGGAGGGGGAATCAGGTAATGTGTAGAATGGGAAGAACAGGTTATGTGGTGGTATCTGCTTTTCTGTCAGAAGAAAGGGACTTGTGTGAGAGAATTTAGATGGATGCTTCTTGTGGAAAAATAAGTATCTTTTTCTCAGGGGTTCTGGCTTCTAGAAATCATTGGTTGGGGACACAGTATATACATTAGTTCAAAGGATTACTCCTATTAATACTATTCCCTCCAGAAACTCCTGCTATTCACTGAACTGGTTATAACCTACTACCTCATGCTCTATTTTATATCTGATCCATTGGATTCTATTATAATAATGCTACTCATGGTATTGCTTTATCTTGCCTTGTCCCCAGCTTTCCATTGTTCACCTCTTAAATTATGTTTTCTTTGGTCTTTCTGGTTCACATTTTTTTGTGAAGACCATTCTGTAACTTACTTAAAACAGTAGTAAACACATAGCAGACACTCATGGCATATGGATTGATCTAATTATTTGCCATCCCAGTAAATCTTACGAAGGTTCTTACTTGACAACAGTTTGTGAGCCTCATTTAAGGTTACCTTTCATTAGTAAAACGGTTTCTTTGTAGAGAGCCTATATAAATAGGTATCTATATATTTAAAAAATGAATTAACTTCCAATTCCGGGTATGACAGACTAAACCCTTTCTAGATAAGATTTCCTGCAGAAAACAACTATAAAATCTGAATACTATAGAAAAGGCAACTATTTGAAGACGCTGGAGAGTAAACAGAAGCAGCAAATAGACTGTGGTGGGGGGTCCATGCTAGTCTGCAGATGGGAGAAAGGGGAGCTATGAAAATAAACTTTATCCCTGTGGCTTTTAGTTCAGTTCTAAGTGCAGTCCATGCGGCCCACGGTGGGGAACAAGCACAAGAAAACCTGAAGTTTTTATGGACTGGAGAATCAGAAAAGTGGAGCTAGAAAACTGGAAACACTGAAAATAGTGGAGGACGCTCAGAAGAAAAAAATCCAGAGAGAGGATTTCCAAATTCAGTCCACCTATATCTCGGACTGTGAGATATGTGATTCCATGATCCATGATTATATGGAACAAACTGACTGCAGCCCAGTGAAAGAAAAAAAATATAAACGGAGACCAAAGCTGCTGCACAAGAGACAGTTTATAGTTAAAGCCCAGCCAAGAAACTTATGTACTGAAAACAAAGGAAATGGTATTTATGGGAGAAAAATGACTAGTATCCAGAATCTCCAGAATGAAATTGGTGATGTAATCCAACTTTACCTAACAGACACAGCACCAAATCAATCTAGTTTAACTCTAAGATATTGGAACCAAGGAATAAGGATTTTAAATGGGCTTTTATCCTTGTCTTCAATGAATTAAAACAAAATATATTTTAAATGCATGAACATCTCAGCAGAGAAATAGTAAATTCTGGTAGTGACAATAATAAAAAACCAAAGGGAAATCCTAGAAATGAAAAATACAATTTCAAAAAACAACAAAAAATTTACTCAATATACTTAACAGCCAAATGGACATGACAGAAGAAAGAATATGTGAACTTAAAGATAAATCAAAGTTATACAAAGTGAAGAGCGTAAAAAAGGATTAAAAGGAAAAAAGTCTCACAAACATGTTCGATTATATCACATGGTAAAACATACATGTAATTGGAATACTAGATGGAGAAGAAGAGAGAGAGAATGGGTCAGAAAAAATATTTGAAAAAACACTGGCCAAAATTTTGCAGACACAAGATGCTAAATGAACAGCAAGAAGAGGAAGCATAAAGAAATGTACAGCAGAGTACCTATGATGAAACTTTTTCTTGAAAACCATAGTAGATGTATTATATAAAAGGGACCAATAATCTGATTAACAGCTGACTTCCCATTAAAAAGCTATGGGGATGAGAAGAGAGTTAACACCTTGAAGGTACAAAAGAAAAAGAAATAATGTCTATTCAGAATTTTATATCCAGTAAAAACGTCATTCGAGAATGAAAGTGAAATTAAGATACTTTTAGATAAAAAGAACAAAAATACTAAGAGAATTTGTCACAAGGGACATATAAGAATTCCTAAAGGAAGTTATTAAACTGAAGGGGAATGATAACACATGAAAACCTAGATCCTCAGAAAAGAGTAAAGAGCCTTGGTAATGGAATCTACCTGTGGAAATTCAAAAGATAATTTTTTTCTTTTTCCACTTTCTTTATAAACCATAGAGCTGTTTAACACTGAAATCATAGCATAGTCTTCCTGGAGTTCATAATATATGTAGATGTATTACATATAAAAACTGCAACAAAGTATGTGGGGGGTTATGATGTATAAGATTGCAAGATTTCTGTATATTAGTAAAGCAGTGATGAGTATTGTAATCCATAGGACAACCATGAAACATACTACAAATAACTTTAACTTTTAGCCAACAGGAATATTAAAGTAGAAATCTAAAAATATATAATTACAAGAGGCAGGAAAGGAAGAACCAAGGAGGGAAAATAGAGAGAAAATATAACAGTAGGTGCAAACTCAACTAATCATTACATTAGATGATAATGGACTAAACTCTCAAATGGCAGATTGTCAGAATGGATTAAAAACAAAGTCCACACTAAAAAACAAAAAGACATACTTTAAATATAAAAAATAGGCTAGGCATGATGGTTCAGACTTGTAATCCCAGCACTTTGGGAGGCTGAGGTGGAAGGGTCACTTGAGCCCAGAAGTTCGAGACCGGACTGGAAAATATGGTGAAACCCAGTCCCTACTAAAAATACAAAAATTAGCCAAGTGTGGTGGCTTGCTCCTGTAGTCCCAGTTACTCGGGATGCTGAGGCAGGAGGATCGCTTGAGCCCTGGAGGTCGAGGCTGCAGTGAGCTGTGATTGCGCCACTGCATTCCAGCCTGGGCAACTGGGCAACAGAGCGAGACCCTGTCTCAAAAAAAAAAAAAAAAAAAAACCCAAACAATTGTGCTGGAGATCCTAGTCTTTGTCATAAGATAAGAAATATAAGGCATATGGATTGGAAAAGAAGTTAGGTTGTCCTTAATTGCAGATGACATGGGAAACCCTAAGGAATCCACAAATAAGCTTCTAGAACTAATAAGTACATTTAGCAAACTCCTAGAATATAAAGTCAGTATACAAAAATCAATAATAATCAAGTTTGAAAATAAAAAATTTTTAAAAGCTTTACTTACAATAACATCAAAATTTTTTAGAAATGTAACAGATAACTTGATAGGCTTGTACCCTGAAAATACTAAAGCATTAGAAATGGAATTAAAGACTATGTAAATAAATAATGAGATACACCATGTGCATATATTAGAAAACTCAATATTGTAAAGGTGGCAGTCTTCCCCAAATCTATAGGTTCAGTACAATCCCAATCAAAACTGTAACAAGGTTTTTTTTTTTTTTTTGAAGAAATTTAGAAGTTTATTTTAAAATTGATACAAAAAGCAAAAGATTCATAATGGCCAAAACATTTTTGAAGACCAGAGTTAGAGGATTTTTATACCTGATTTCACAAAGACTTACTCCAGAGCTACAGTAGTTGATAAAATGTGGTACTGGCCTAACGGTAGATAAGTGCAACAGAAATAGACACACTTACATGGTCAACTGATTTTTGAAAAGAGCACTAAGGCAGTTCATTAGAGAAAATAGTTTTTTTAGCAAGTGGTGTGGGTACACTTGGATATAAGTATGAAAAGAAAAAAAAAGCCTCAACCCCTTCATACCATACACAAGAATATAAATAAACATTGTTTGTAAGACCTAAAGAAGTTCCAAAACTATGAAACTTCTAGAAAAAACTAGGAGAAAATCTTTGTGACATTTGGGTTAGGCATATGCTTCTTTGAAAAGACACAAAAAGCATGAAGCATAAAAGAAAATATTGATAAAATGGGCTTCCTCATGGTTAACAACGTTTGCTAAAGAGGTAGAAATACGAAAAGGCAAGTCAGACCAGGAGAAAATTTTGCAAACCATATTGAGAAAGGGCATGTTTACACAAAGTGTAAACAACTCTTATAACTCAATAAGAAAACAACCCACGTAAAAAATGGGAAGAGATTTTATCAGGTATCTGCACTGCAAAAGAAGATATGAGAATGGCTAATTAGCACATGAGAAGATGTTTGACATCACTGTCATCAGAGAAGTGCATGTTAAAAGCACATTGCAATACTTCTGTGCAACCACTAGAATGGCTAGTTAAAAGGCCTGACAGTATTAAGAATTGGCAAGTTTGTGGAGCCTTAGTCTGCTCCAACTTCCATAGCAGAATAGCATAGACTCGGCTGCTAAAGAACAGAAATTTATTTCTCACAGTTCTGGAGGCTAGAAAGTCCAAGATCAAGGTGGTGGCCAATTCATTTTCTGATGGAAGCACCCTTTCTGGCTAGCAGATGGTTGCTTTCTGCCTGTGTCTTCACATGGCCTTTCCTTTGATCATGTGGAAGGAGATAGTAAGCTCTCTAGTGTCTCTTCTTATAATGGCACTAATCCCATCATACCAGGGACCCACCCTCATGACCTCAGCTAAAGCTGATTTTATCTCCCAAAAGCCCCACCTCCAAATGCTATCACATTAAGGGTTAGGGTGTCAACATGCATTTTGAGGGAAAACACAAACGTTTAGTCCATGACATGGAACAAATAGAATTCACATACATTGTGTGAAGAAATGAAAACAGTACAGCTACTTTAGAAAACAACGTGGAAGTACCTTATAAGGTTAAAAACATATTTAGTATATGAATTAGAATATCGATTTCTAGTTATTTACCCAAGATAAGTGAAAATAATATATGTCCCGACAAGGACACACACATGAATGTTCATGGTGACATTATTCAAATAGCCCAAAACTGGAACCCAAATGTTAATTGACCGAATCAGTAAACTGAACAAGTAAAGAGATTGTACTGTATCCATACTACTAAATACAATAAAGCAATAAAACACTACAAAATACCACCAGACTCAACACGGATGAATCTCAAAAGCATTCTGAGTAAAACACATCAAACACAAAAGATTATATACTATGTGATTCCATTTATATGAAATTTTAGAAAAGGCAAAAACTACAGTGAGAGAAAGCAGGTCAGGGGTTAAGGGTGAGGGAAGGGGATAAGGGCAAAAGGTATGAGGACATTTTTAAGGGGGAGGGAACTCTATTATGGTGCTGGTTGCGAGATTGTATGCTATTACCAAATTCATCAAACTGTATACTTAAAAGGACTGAATGTAATTTATATATAAATAATACCTTAATGAAAATAGAAGAAAAATGGATTAATGAAGTTTATAAAACCTGGAGAAAATAAAATGTATTAAATATTATAAAATTAGTTCATGTTTTATTGCACAGTGTTATGGCACAACTATTTTCACGTAAGACTCTCTGACACGTGTAAATAATTTCTCATTCTTGTATCTCAAATGGGAGAGGAAGAGGAATAATAAATGTTCATGTATGCTTGTGTGTGTGTATAGTCACACTCATACATACATAATTTCTATGACTATGTTAATGACATACATTTTATAGCTTACTCTTAATAATGTTTTAAATTTATTGGCTCACAGAGAACATTGTAACATTTTTCCAAATGCCTTTAACTATGTATGATTACCTCTAAATTAAATTTATTTTCATCAATGGAATCATCACACAAGGAGCTGACTAACTGGCTTTTCATGTCTTATTCTTACCCTTCTCATTTATGCTCTTGTGTGAAGGTTTTTATAAATGCTTTGGCTTTGTTGTAGTGAATAGATTTCTATCTATACTGTGAAATGTTTACTAAGCCTAATAGAAAATCGTATTGATTTTTGAATGAGGAGTTAAGCTATCGCTAATTTGTATAAGAAAAATAACCAAAAAATATAAATAACTTTATGTTGTTATGCTGCCACATGAACACAGCACAGCATACCTTACATACAACAGAGTGTAATATGTTTATCTAAAATCTCAAGTTTTGCAACTAAAAATAATGACTCGCGAGAAAGAAATTCTGGAGAACTCTCTCCTGATAATTCTTAAGATTGATAGATGTTAGTGTGTCCTATAAATGCACACAGGTAAATGTTTCTTTGGTTCCCTTGAGATTTGACTCCTTTGTTTGATGTGCTAGAATTTGTAAATGCAATTTGGAAACCCTCTGAAGGCTAAGTATCTGAGTGAAAACTCATCAAATATCTTGGTTAATTTGAAGATGTAACATTTGCAAGATGATCTTTAGAACGATATAACAAGCCTTTTTCTTTTTCAGTTGGAATCAACTGGACTCGGCCTTAGTAGTAGTAGACTAAGAACAACTCTAAACAGAATACAAGAAAGCCTTATTGATCTAGTAAGTAACGAATTGGAATAAATTCTTTTGGATTATATAAAATGGAAATTAGCTATTCAATCAATTTCATATAAATGTGTGTCTATATGTATTGAGTAGCTGAGTCCTCAGAATTAAATGAGTGCATATAGGAAGTAAAACAGAGGTTGCTTATAGTCTGATCAGAGAGAAACTAGTATACATAAAAGAATATGATATTGGGCTTATATCTAGCACAAGTTCAAAGAAGAGAAAGGTTTATGTGAAAAACTAATATCAGAGGAGGACTAAAGGAAGAAGTAACACTTGTGCTAGGCTTCGAAGACCAGGCATAGGATTAATGGGAGAGAGAAAAGTCTTTAAATTAAGGTACACAGGGTGAGCAAGGGCCTTGAGGTGGGTGCAGCCCGAAGTTTGACAGATCTTATGATTGGGACACTGGTATATGCTGCCGAGTTAGGTTGCAGAGAGTGTCTGGGACACTTTATAAACGGCTTTGAAATTCAAGGAGAAAGTTTGGGTTTAGTTTGCTGTGTAGTAGGGAGCCTGGTTCTTGACTGTTGTCACAGGATGAAATACATGTTTTAAGAAGATAGGTTAGATAGCAACACAGGGTTGACCTCCTGTACTGTTTCAGCTAACATAAGCATTTAAAATGAGAAAATCTTTTTTTCTTGTGGTTGGTCACTGTAGCCGGAAATTTATGTTATTCAGACGTTTCTCCACATCTACTTTAACCCCAGGCTTCTCTGACTTTTCCTTTATTCCTTCAACCTAACACAAACAAGCAATCATTTTCCTCCTTTTTCATAAGCTCTATATTATGTGCTTACCTCTGTTATTGAAGCTTTTTATAAAGCCATGATTATTAATTCTTTTAAGAAATACTGTTGCAACAATTGTTATATGCCAGGCATTGTTAAAGAGCTGGGAATTCATCAGTGCACAGAAGAGATATTTCCTGTCTTGGAACTTGTATTTTTTTGGAGCAGAGAGACAAACAAATGTGTAACATAGTGTCAGATACTCATGAGTACTAAGATGAAACTGAAGCGGTGATAGGATGGGGATCTTGAGCAGAGATGTGAATAATGTGAGTGAGGCATGTACTGATATCTCAGGTGAGCGCTGTTTGGGCAGAAGAAATAAATGGTATCCTTCTCTCTTAACATTTGGAGATCCTTTTACCCAACACATTTTTAAAAATATAGTCATATCACTTACCTTGGCACATAACATTGCTTCAGTAAATGTTCATAGAGTAGGTGAATATACCCCAGTCGCTGAGTTTCTTGTTTCTTGGCATAACTTGGCTTGTTTTTTTGGTTTTGATATTTGTTTAATCCTTGATCTTCAATTTCAGAGTCAAGGCTCCTTATTTGATCCACCCTTTTTGTTTCTCTTTTTTCTTTTCTTTTTTGTTTTTAGTCTTTGTTTTGTAAAATCCATTGGTCTCAGCCCCACTTGCAGTTTTCTGTGTTTCGATTTTGATTCTTCTTATTTGATACTTAAGTATAACCTTGAGCATCAAATCTTATTCTCCAGATCTTAGTCCACAGCTAAAGTTTTTCTTGGTTCTTACTGAAAGTCCCAAGATTGATGGGCCAGATTTTACCACTAGGGCCATTCACCCTGGCATTTCTGTGTCATCCCTGCTAGCTACTATCTTGTGATCATCAAACTCCAGTTCTAGATTTGACCCTTAAGATGTGGATTTCTGCCTCAGATTTTACCACATAGTGTATAATGAATTATTACTCATACTGATAAACATTGGTTTGTTATTTTAGAAAATATATTTGTCATTTACTAGAACTTGCTTGATCTCAGGATTTTTTAAGCTGGTATGTATTAATTTTCTTCACTTCATTAATTTGCATTTACAATGGCAGAGTACATTAATTGATTTCTTGCTACTCAATACATTCTTTGGCTACTAAAATAATTTATAGCTTAATCAATCTGAAACCAACTAGATGGAAGTAATATTTTTCCTTATATTTCTCTTGCACGTCAGTTAAAATCTTAATAAATACTTTTTTGGTAATTTTATTTTCTCCATATAGATATTCTAAGTTTTACTTCTCTTTAAGCTGTAAAAGGCAAAATAGAATCATTGTGGTCTTAAAAGTGCCACCCGAAATAATTTATCATGTAAATTCAATGTAAACTAAGAAAATTTGTTTGTCACATCAAATAAAAATTTAAGAAAAGTTGTCTAATAGGAAAAGTAAGAAAGGAAGCTGGTATAGGCGATAGTGACAGCAGAAAGTTGAATTTTTAGTTATCCATTTGGTTATGCTAACTAAATTGTTTGCTTTAAGACCTTTAGCCAACTTATTTATTTATTTGCTTATGAGACAGTCTCACTATGTCACCCAGGCTGGAGTGCAGTGGTAAGATCTTGTCTCACTGCAACCTCCACCTCCCAGGTTCAAGCAATTCTCCTGCCTCAGCCTCCCGAGTAGCTGGAATTACAGGCTGTCACCACCACGCCCGGCTAGTTTTTGTATTTTTAGTAGAGACAGGTTTGCCATGTTGGCCAGGCTGGTCTTGAACTCCTGACCTCAGGTGATCCTTCTGCCTCAGCCTCCCAAAGTGCTGGGATTACAGGCATGAGCCACTGCACCTGGGCCTTTAGCCAACTTTAAATCTTTGATAATAAAAAGTATTTTAAATTTGTCCAGAAAAATTCATAAATATGAATTCTCTTTGTAGTAGTACATTGGTGGTAGGAAAGGCTAAAAAATGTGACTCTCACTGTGAAAATAAAGGTGGTTAAGGTTTCATTTTTCAATCTTTAAAGGGTTATATCCTTTACTTATTGTACTCCTATAAACTGAAACAGCCAGTTTAGGAGCTTTTTATTTAAGTGTGCAGTAAGCACATACCATTTATTTATGTCAGCTTGACATTTTCGTGACTCTCTTGCTCTCTTCAAGCGTATTTTCCTAAATATAAACACAGAACTTTAGTCTTTAAGCAAATAATTATCATAAATTTTATGCCTCAAATGCCAGGCTTACAACTGGGAACAAAGGAAGGTATTTTAATGAAAGCCTTTTGAAGTGGGGGCAACAATTCCAGTGATCTTCTAAAGAATGCTTTTGTGAAAGAGCTCCCTGAGTAGAAGGGAACTCAGTGCATTTGTGTTGGAGGCACTAAGGAGGTAGTTAGGTAAATGCTTTTGGCTCCTCTTGTCATATGGAAGATAACTGTATTCTCTCAGACTATAGATATACCCTCTCCTTGACTTCCATTATTTTCTAGAGCCACCTCCCTGTTCTATCCCTAATTAACTAGTTAGTACCTAAATTCAAAGAAACTTTTAGTTTTATAAATATATTGTGTATATGATATCTAATCCAAAAGAATGAAATTTAAAAGTAACTGCTATTATAAGTATGTGGTATTCATGGGGATCCTTGAGCTATTTTGAGTTTGAGATTGTACAATATTGTCAGAAAATTCATATCAGATTTAGCTTAATTATACAATATTTTAAAAGCAGAAGTGTTTGATGCTTAGAGTTTTGTTATACTATTGGAGTATAATCTTCCAAGTTTTTACTCATAGAAGGAAACTTATCTGTGCTCACTTAACCTGTACAGCATTCATACATACCTAGTAACTGTCAGCTTCTGCTTGAACATCTCCAGTGATGTTTTTCTGGGAACTCATAACCACCCAAAGCAGCCCTGCTTGCCTTAAGTTTGCCTGATAGAATGTGCTTTGTTATGATGTAACCAAATATGCTTCTCTCTTGAACTATTTTCTGTTATTTATATTTCTACCTCTTTTGGACCACTTTGAGTAGCCACCCATTTTGCCCAAGTAAGTCATTTCTTCTACCAGTTCCTTTATTCATTTTTCATGTTTCAGAGTTTTAGGTCTCCTCACCATTCTTTGACTTGTTCTGAAATAGGTATTTACAACTCTGAACTAAGAAGAAAGTTGAGAGCACTCTAAGAGGTATTGGAAGCAGACAGAAAACGAGCTATGTGATGAGGGTGCAGGATGAGATACAAGATAGTTGGATAGCTATCTTTATTACTAATTCATTCCACAATACATATTGCATGCCTAGGTACTTTGTGGTAGACTGATGGTCCCCGGAGTGGAGGAGGCAGTTAAGGAATAAATGAAGATCTAATTTAACATCAGATTGTGTTGAAAGCAATGAAGAAATTAGGTGAGAAGGACAGAGAGAGAAAGGGTGTAATTTTATTTGGGCAGTTAGAGAAGATCCCTCTGGAAAGGAACATTGAAGAAGATCCCTAAAGGAAATAGGAGAGTGAGCCACCCTTATTCAACAAATGTTTATATAGTATCTGTTTGTTGAACACTATATATGGTGCCAAGCACTGTTCTAGGAATTAAGAATACAATTGTAGGGGAAGGTGGGGAAGCCAAACAAAACTCCCTACCCATGTAGAGTTTATTTTCTAGTAGGGGGAAGATATTTTGGGGAACAGTGTTTTAGGCTAGAGTCAGTTGTAAACAGGTAATAGCATGGTAACATGTTTATAGACTTTTTCCTGGAAGGGTTGGATTGAGGCTTTAAAACCAGGGAGTGTTATGATCACATCTCTATTTGAGAAAGTTCACATCAGTATTGTAGAAAAATCAATCAGTTAACTGTGTGGAAACTGGCATAGAAATAGGAGATGCTAGAGACAGAGCTCTCTATTCATGGGCTTTTAGAATAGTCCAGTCAAGACTGCTAAGGAGCCTGTGACCTGTTTAAATAGTAACATCCGGAAGGAACAAACAAGAGAGGTGTCTGTTTAGGCATGTTTTAGTGATTGATTGGATGTGGAAGGTGAGGAAGAAGGGGAGTCATGAATGACTGTAAGGTTCCTTACTTGTTTCTTATCAATAACTACCAGAATTAAATAGCATAGACAACCAATTGGTGCCAAACAGTATTTAATTTTGTGAATTTTTATTCTCCTTTTTTTTTTCTGCTGGAGTAGGGTTATTTCCTTTTTAGAGGGAAATGAATGATGGAGATACGACATTAATTAACTTGCATGGATCCATGATCCTGCTTCTCCCTAGAGGAAGCACAGTTATTCCCCAACTAACTTTTAAATGCTAATTGAGTAATTAGAGATTGAAAAGAGACACTGTCTTTAGGAGAAGATAGGAAATAAAAAAAAAAAAAACAGAACTAAAGAATTAAACCACTTTCTAACTTGAAAAGTTTTATAATTTTTATTTGCATTTTGCTAAATTTATAGGAGTAAATTATATGTATGCATTTGATGTCTCATTTATTCATATGGAAAATAATTGGAGATTTGTTACTATCAAGTTGCTGTAAAAAGTAATCTAGCTTTATATTTTGTACACTATTAGATGCGTTTACATCCAATTTTTGTGCTAAATTTTCTTTGAGGGTTTTTTAAAGCTATTTTATTTGCATTTAAACATTTAGTTTTGCTATCTGCCTACTCATATGTTCTCACCTTTAAACTCCATAATAGAGATAACCATGGAGTGTTTTCCATACTGAAAGTAGTACATAAACTGCAGGGGTTGTATTATATAATGTTTAGCATCTCTTCTAACTCTGTCATTCTATGATTCAATCAACATTTTAAAACTTTGAGTGGGGGCAGGGGTTAACTTGTATTCAGATTAACTTTAAAAAAGATAATAGCATTTTTGTACTATGAGCTATTGCTTAACTTACATAGCTTTTATTCTATTTTTTTTCTTTTTGTAAATTTCTCTTATGGAATTTTTTAAAAAATGTAATGAATGGAATTCATTGCCATGTCAGTACTGTAAAACTCTATAGTTAAACTAAAAGTATAATGACCATTTGTAATTCAAGCTCATTGTTATTAGAAATATATTTGGTTATAAAAGTTCTTAATGGCCTTCACAGTGAAGTGACCCTGGATTATACTGTCATCAGTGATGTTAAGATTCCTGCAGTGTCACTACCTTGACCTCTCTCCTTCGTGCCCCAGAAAACAATAATTAAAAGTCTCTTTCTCTGAGGTGTAATGCAGCAACTATTCAAATAACTGTTATGATGATGCCAGTATTCTAAACAGCCTTCTTTCATGTTTGCTGTACAAAGGGAAACTTAGTCACCAAAATAAGTTTATATTAAGTTAAATATTGAAATATTTGGAGTGATTGGTAACTCTTGAGCTGGCAGTCTTCTGGTACTCTGTCAGCTACTCCGAGTAGCCAGCCTTGTGCATCTTTACCCATGATCTCAAGATATTCCCATCCTCCTGGCAAAAAAAGGTGGCCAGTGTGCCTGGGAGTTGAAATGTGTTTTTGTTTTTTTAACTGTTTGCTAAGAGCTTAGTAAAAAATGAGTCCCTTGCTATGTATTGAGAAGTTGAGTAAGTGTATCTTTGAAACTCTTCCTTTGCCAACCTGTTTGTTTATAACATAGGATATGTTTATATGAAGTCCAAGAATGTACATAAACTCATATCCAAGGCATTCGTTGCCTGGCATCAGAATACCTAGAAAGGTAAATTAGTAATGAGAAGATTTCTAATGAGTATATCATCAGATGAAAGTAAAACTGAGAAATTTGAAGTCCGATGAGTTTTCCCGACCACAAATTAGACTGCATCACTCCTGTTGACTACATGGCTGTGTAACTGAATCAGTGGTTCTCTCCTGGATGGTGCTGAAGAGCCTGGCACACCCTGCTTCCTGGGTATCCCTTTCCTTTGTTCACATTGACCATCTTCCTTCTTATCAGCAGTCTGTCCCCAGACATATACAATACAGTTGGCTCTGTTCTAGTTTATAACTTCATTCTAGTCCTGCCTTCTTGAGATTATATACCAGGGTAACCTTCATTAAAATTTGGGTGTGAGATGGTTAATCAAAAAATAATTTTGGATTTTATCAGCATGGTTCTCAAGGGGTAATCATATTTCTCTCATTTACAAGTTCTTGAGGGCCATCTCACTGTTGTCACTGTGAAACATCTGTCAATTCATAAAGAGTCCTTGTGTTGACAGACTTTAGGTCATGTACAGATGGTAGCATGTAGAGTTGGATGATATTATGTAGGCTCATTCTCATTTAGGATTAAAAAGAAGGTTCCAATAGTTACAAACATGAAAGCAGGATAAAAAGAACTGAACCTAAATGTAATTAACGTGTGCCCCAAGAGTATTTTAATTTTAATTCTAATTTTGTCAAAATCACGTGGTTTATTACTGTTAGATTTGTTATTCCAGGTTGTATATCTATTGTATTTTCAGGAAGTTTCAGCTGATCCTACTGCCACACTCACAGCAGCAGAAGAAAGAAAGGAGAAGGTGCCAAGTCCACACCTCAGTCACCTAGTGGTTTTGACATCTGGGGATACGCTGTATGGGTTGGCAGAAAGAGTGGTAGCCACGGAATCCTTGTAAGTTGTTCAAAACAGTTGCGTTGCCATTAAATATTTAAGAAACTTTATAAAAGAAGCATTGTTTAATTAGACTTCTAGTTAGCTGCATACATCTACCACTTCTAAATATCACTTATATGTTTCTGAGAAGTATATTCTAACACAGATTACCAATTGATTTTTTAAACTGCATGGTTGGTTTTTCAGTTATAGAAATGGAAAGAAGGAAATCTTTTAATTTTCAGCCTTTAACAACATGATCCATGCTTTAAGTACAACTTTAAAAAGCATTATACTATGCTTCATATTTTCCTATTGATGACTTATGATCTCAGGAGAAGCTGTAGTTGCATTGTCAATTTAGTGTTAAGTATAGTTGATCCTTGACATCAATAAGAATGCTTCCTGGGGAGAAGCCAAGATGGCCGAATAGGAACAGCTCCAGTCTGCAGCTCCCAGCGTGAACGACACAGAAGACGGGTGATTTCTGCATTTCCATCTGAGGTACCGGGTTCATCTCACTAGGGAGTGCCAGACAGTGGGCGCAGGTCAGTGGGTGCGCGCACTGTGCATGAGCCGAAGCAGGGCGAGGCATTGCCTCACTAGGGAAGCACAAGGGGTCAGGGAGTTCCCTTTCCTAGTCAAAGAAAGTGGTGACAGACGGCACCTGCAAATCTGGGTCACTCCCACCCGAATACTGTGCTTTTCCGACGGGCTTAAAAAACGGTGCATCAGGAGATTATATCCCGCACCTGGCTCGGAGGGTCCCATGCCCACGAAGTCTCGCTGATTGCTAGCACAGCAGTCTGAGATCAAACTGCAAGGCGGCAGTGACGCTGGGGGAGGGGCACCCGCCATTGCCCAGGCTTGCTTAGGTAAACAAAGCAGCCTGGAAGCTCGAACTAGGTGGAGCCCACCACAGCCCAAGGAGGCCTGCCTGCCTCTGTAGGCTCCACCTCTGGGGGCAGGGCACAGACAAACAAAAAGACAGCAGTAACCTCTGCAGACTTAAATGTCCCTGTCTGACAGCTTTGAAGAGAGCAGTGGTTCTCCCAGCACGCAGCTGGAGATCTGAGAACGGGCAGACTGCCTCAAGTGGGTCCCTGACCACTGACCCCTGATCCCCGAGCAGCCGAACTGGGAGGCACCCCCCAGCAGGGGCACACTGACACCTCACACGACTGGGTACTCCAACAGACCTGCAGCTGAGGGTCTTGTCTGTTAGAAGGAAAACTAACAAACAGAAAGGACATCCACACCAAAAACCCATCTGTACATCACCATCATCAAAGACCAAAAGTAGATAAAACCACAAAGATGGGGAAAAAAACAGAGCAGAAAACCTGGAAACTCTAAAAAGCACAGCACCTCTCCTCCTCCAAAGGAACACAGTTCCTCACCAGCAACGGAACAAAGCTGGACGGAGAATGACTTTGACGAGCTGAGAGAAGAAGGCTTCAGATGATCAAATTACTCCGAGCTACGGGAGGACATTCAAACCAAAGGCAAAGAAGTAGAAAACTTTGAAAAAAATTTAGACGAATGTATAAGTAGAATAACCAATACAGAGAAGTGCTTAAAGGAGCTGATGGAGCTGAAAACCAAGGCTCGAGAACTACGTGAAGAATGCAGAAGCCTCAGGAGCCGATGCGATCAACTGGAAGAAAGGGTATCAGCGATGGAAGATGAAATGAATGAAATGAAGCGAGAAGGGAAGTTTAGAGAAAAGAGAATAAAAAGAAATGAACAAAGCCTCCAAGAAATATGGGACTATGTGAAAAGACCAAATCTACGTCTGATTGGTGTACCTGAAAGTGACGGGGAGAATGGAACCAAGTTGGAAGACACTCTGCAGGATATTATCCAGGAGAACTTCCCCAATCTAGCAAGGCAGGCCAACGTTCAGATTCAGGAAATACAGAGAATGCCACAAAGATACTCCTCGAGAAGAGCAACACCAAGACACATAATTGTCAGATTCACCAAAGTTGAAATGAAGGAAAAAATGTTAAGGGCAGCCAGAGAGAAAGGTCGGGTTACCCTCAAAGGGAAGCCCATCAGACTAACAGCAGATCTCTCGGCAGAAACTCTACAAGCCAGAAGAGAGTAGGGGCCAATATTCAACATTCTTAAAAGAATTTCCAACCCAGAATTTCATATCCAGCCAAACTAAGCTTCATAAGTGAAGGAGAAATAAAATACTTTACAGACAAGCAAATGCTGAGAGATTTTGTCACCACCAGGCCTGCCCTAAAAGAGCTCCTGAAGGAAGCGCTAAACCTGGAAAGGAACAACCGGTACCAGCCGCTGCAAAATCATGCCAAAATGTAAAGACCATCCAGACTAGGAAGAAACTGCATCAACTAACGAGCAAAATAACCAGCTAACATCATAATGACAGGATCAAATTCACACATAACCATATTAACTTTAAATGTAAATGGACTAAATGCTCCAATTAAAAGACACAGACTGGCAAATTGGATAAAGAGTCAAGACCCATCAGTGTGCTGTATTCAGGAAACCCATCTCACGGGCAGAGACACACATAGGCTCAAAATAAAAGGATGGAGGAAGATCTACCAAGCAAATCGAAAACAAAAAAAGGCAGGGGTTGCAATCCTAGTCTCTGATAAAACAGACTTTAAACCAACAAAGATCAAAAGAGACAAAGAAGGCCATTACTTAATGATAAAGGGATCAATTCAACAAGAAAAGCTAACTATCCTAAATATATATGCACCCCAATACAGGAGCACCCAGATGCATAAAGCAAGTCCTGAGTGACCTACAAAGAGACTTAGACTCCCACACATTAATAATGGGAGACTTTAACACCCCACTGTCAACATTAGACAGATCAACGAGACAGAAAGTTAACAAGGATACCCAGGAATTGAACTCAGCTCTGCATCAAGCAGACCTAATAGACATCTACAGAACTCTCCACCACAAATCAACAGAACATACATTTTTTGCAGCACCACACCACACCTATTCCAAAATTGACCACATACTTGGAAGTAAAGCTCTCCTCAGCAAATGTAAAAGAACAGAAATTATAACAAACTATCTCTCAGACCACAGTGCAATCAAACTAGAACTCAGGATTAAGAATCTCACTCAAAACCGCTCAACTACATGGAAACTGAACCTGCTCCTGAATAACTACTGGGTACATAACGAAATGAAGGCAGAAATAAAGATGTTCTTTGAAACCAACAAGAACAAAGACACAACATACCAGAATCTCTGGGACACATTCAAAGCAGTGTGTAGAGGGAAATTTATAGCACTAAATGCCCACAAGAGAAAGCAGGAAAGATCCAAAATTGACACCCTAACATCACAATTAAAACAACTAGAAAAGCAAGAGCAAACACATTCAAAAGCTAGCAGAAGGCAAGAAATAACTAAAATCAGAGGAGAACTGAAGGAAATAGAGACACAAAAAACCCTTCACAAAATTAACGAATCCAGGAGCTGGTTTTTTGAAAGGATCAACAAAATTGATAGACTGCTAGCAAGACTAATAAAGAAAAAAAGAGAGAAGAATCAAATAGATGCAATAATAAATGATAAAGGGGATATCACCACCGATCCCACAGAAATACAAACTACCTTCAGAGAATACTACAAACACCTCTACGCAAATAAACTAGAAAATCTAGAAGAAATGGATAAATTCCTCGACACATACACTCTCCCAAGACTAAACCAGGAAGAAGTTGAGTCTCTGAATAGACCAATAACAGGAGCTGAAATTGTGGCAATAATCAATAGCTTACCAACGAAAAAGAGTCCAGGACCAGATGGATTCACAGCCAAATTCTACCAGAGGTACAAGGAGGAACTGGTACCATTCCTTCTGAAACTATTCCAATCAATAGAAAAAGAGGGAATCCTCCCTAACTCATTTTGAGGCCAGCATCATCCTGATACCAAAGCCGGGCAGAGACACAACCAAAAAAGAGAATTTTAGACCAATATCCTTGATGAACATTGATGCAAAAATCCTTAATAAAATACTGGCAAACCGAATCCAGCAGCACATCAAAAAGCTTATCCACCATGATCAAGTGGGCTTCATCCCTGGGATGCAAGGCTGGTTCAATATACACAAATCAATAAATGTAATCCAGCATATAAACAGAAGCAAAGACGAAAACCACATGATTATCTCAATAGATGCAGAAAAGGCCTTTGACAAAATTCAACAACCCTTCATGCAAAAAACTCTCAATAAATTAGGTATTGATGGGATGTATCGCAAAATAATAAGAGCTATCTATGACAAACCCACAGCCAATATCATACTGAATGGGCAAAAACTGGAAGCATTCCCTTTGAAAACTGGCACAAGACAGGGATGCCCTCTCTTACCAATCCTATTCAACACAGTGTTGGAAGTTCTGGCCAGGGCAATTAGTCAGGAGAAGGAAATAAAGGGTATTCAATTAGGAAAAGAGGAAGTCAAATTGTCCCTGTTTGCAGACGACATGATTGTATATCTACAAAACCCCATTGTCTCAGCCCAAAATCTCCTTAAGCTGATAAGCAACTTCAGCAAAATCTCAGGATATAAAATCAATGTACAAAAATCACAAGCATTCTTATACACCAACAACAGACAGAGAGCCAAATCATGAGTGAACTCCCATTCACAATTGCTTCAAAGAGAATAAAATACCTAGGAATCCAACTTACAAGGGATGTGAAGGACCTCTTCAAGGAGAACTACAGACCACTGCTCAAAGAAATAAAAGAGGATACAAACAAATGGAAGAACATTCCATGCTCATGGGTAGGAAGAATCAATATAATGAAAATGGCCATACTGCCCAAGGTAATTTACAGATTCAATGCCATCCCCATCAAGCTACCAATGACTTTCTTCACAGAATTGGAAAAAGCTACTTTAAAGTTCATATGGAACCAAAAAAGAGCCTGCATCGCCAAGTCCATCCTGAGCCAAAAGAACAAAGCTGGAGGCATCACACTACCTGACTTCAAACTATACTACAAGGCTACAGTAACCAAAACAGCATGGTACTGGTACCAAAACAGAGATATAGATCAATGGAACAGAACAGAGCCCACAGAAATAACACCACATATCTACAACTATCTGATCTTTGACAAACCTGAGAAAAACAAGCAATGGGGAAAGGATTCCCTATTTAATAAATGGTGCTTGGAAAACTGGCTAGCCATATGTAGAAAGCTGAAACTGGATCCCTTCCTTACACCTTATACAAAAATCAATTCAAGATGGATTAAAGACTTAAACGTTAGACCTAAAACCATAAAAACCCTAGAAGAAAACCTAGGCATTACCATTCAGGACATAGGCATGGGCAAGGACTTCATGTCTAAAACACCAAAAGCAATGGCAACAAAAGCCAAAATTGACAAATGGGATCTAATTAAACTAAAGAGCTTCTGCACAGCAAAAGAAACTACCATCAGAGTGAGCAGGCAACCTACAAAATGGGAGAAAATTTTCGCAACCTACTCATCTGACAAAGGGCTAATATCCAGAATCTACAATGAACTCAAACAAGTTTGCAAGAAAAAAACAAACAACCCCATCAAAAAGTGGGCAAAGGATATAAATAGACACTTCTCAAAAGAAGACATTTATGCAGCCAAAAAACACATGAAAAAATGCTCACCATCACTGGCCATCAGAGAAATGCAAATCAAAACCACAATGAGATACCATCTCACACCAGTTAGAATGGCAATCATTAAAAAGTCAGGAAACAACAGGTGCTGGAGAGGATGTGGAGAAATAGGAACACTTTTACACTGTTGGTGGGACTGTAAACTAGTTCAACCCTTGTGGAAGTCAGTGTGGCGATTCCTCAGGGATCTAGAACTAGAAATACCATTTGACCCAGCCATCCCATTACTGGGTATATACCCAAAGGACTATAAATCATGCTGCTATAAAGACACATGCACACGTATGTTTATTGTGGCACTATTCACAATGGCAAAGACTTGGAACCAACCCAAATGTCCAACAATGATAGACTCGATTAAGAAAATGTGGCACATATACAGCATGGAATACTATGCAGCCATAAAAAATGATGAGTTCATGTCCTTTGTAGGGACATGGATGAAATTGGAAATCATCATTCGCAGTAAACTATCGCAAGAACAAAAAACCAAACACTGCATATTCTCACTCATAGGTGGGAATTGAACAATGAGAACACACGGACACAGGAAGGGAAACATCACACTCTGGGGACTGTTGTGGGGTGGGGGGAGGGGGGAGGGATAGCACTGGGAGATATACCTAATGCTAGATGACGAGTTAATGGGTGCAGCGCACCAGCATGGCACATGTATACCTATGTAAGTAACCTGCACATTGTGCACATGTACCCTAAAAAAGTATTATAATAATAATAATTAAAAAAAAGAAAAAAAAAAGAATGCTTCCTGACCTTTATAAATCCCTAAAGTTAGTAATACAATTAACGCATATAACTTCTTTGGCATTTCTATAAAATGTAGTCCAATATAACATAAGAGTTTTTGCATTAGTAAGAAAAAGCAGAAAAAGACAGTGCCTGGATGCAGTGCAACTGCAGGCAGTAGTCCAGGCTCCTTCACCAGCCCACTGACTCCCATTCCTGTACCCAGCCTCTGGCACCTGTCATTCATCTGTGATACTCAGCCAAGTTACAGTCTGCTGCCTATTAGGAATGTTGGGGTTACTTCTGAAAAGTGTCAGATATTGAATCTGAGATTTCAAGAGTCTGTTGTGTATAACTGAATGAGATCTTTAAAAGAAATCCTTTAAAAAAATACCCTTGTGTTCTTTTTTCAACCTGCTACTCTGGGCTCACATCTTACATTTGAAGCACATGACTACACCTCATCATAAGCTGCTTGGCTCCTTTGAAGTTGTTCTTCTTTCACCTCAACTTCCATTCAGTCATAAACTCAGCATTATTTATTGTGTAGATTATAAATGAACATGTCAAGTGGTAGTACAGGTTCGTCCACTAAAGTGGAAAGTAATTTTTATTGTTAAAGTTTTGCTCAGAAATGTTAAAAAATACTTATACGAAAGCATGACAGGCTCTAAATCCTACACAATTTGTTTACACAGTGGGTTATTTATTCCCTTTAGGGTATTCTTGGCTGAACAGTTTGAGTTCCTTCAGCCACATCTGGATGCTGTGATGCCTGCAGTCAAAAAGCCCTTTCTTCAGCAGTTCTATTCTCAGGTCAGACATGGTCTTGTATGTCATTTCAACTGTGAGGAAGATAGGACTGTCACAGATTATTTAGATTTTTTGTTGTTTTTTTTAACTGGAAGTCAGTCTTGAAACCCCAGGAGAGCCAGATAAAATATTCATTTATTCACTCATGAATTCCTACATTAAATACATACTATCGAGCACCTCATGTAACTTTTAGACTAGTGAGAGAGAGAGCATCAGTTAAAACTGTTAAAATAAAGCATGATAAGTACTGTGGTAAGGGGAAAGTGCCATGAGTGTATTTAACCCAGACTGGAGAAGGGGAGAGGCTTTGGGTGGGAGAAGGTCATCTAGAAAGGCTATCTAGAGGAAGTAATGTTTAAACTGGACCAGCAGGGTAGAGAGGGTGAATGAGGGATGGATTCTAGACAAAGGGAATGGCATGTCTGAAGACCTGCAGGTGAGAAAGAGCATGGTGCATGCAAACAGCTGAGGAAAGCTTGTTAGAGTTGGGAGGAGGTCTGGGGATGAGAAAGATGGCTGGGGCAATCAGCAGGAACCACTGGCATGTAAAGCACCCTGCTTCAGGAGTTGGACTTTATTTGGAGGGCATGGAAGCTCCTGGAGGGTTTGAAACAGGTGAGTGGCATGGTTGGGTTTGTGTTTTAGTTTTCTGGGGGCATTGTGGAAGAAAGGACTGTAGACAGTCCTAGAGACAGGGAAACTAATTTGAAGGCTGCTGCAGTATTGCAGGGGAGAGATGGTGGAATCCTGACATCATGTAGTGGGAGTGGAAATGGAGAGAAGTGGAAGAATTTGAGAAGTAATTGCTAGGCTACATGAAGAGCTCTAGTTCTTTGACAGTTGCAGTGTCAATGGCTTCAAGTTTATTGAATGTCTCAAAATTATGTTTTGAGTAAGGCCTTTGCCTTCACTCAAATATTCAAATTATTTTCATCATAATTTAAATCTCCAAATATATAGTGTTTTATTTTCAGATATGATATATACTGGAAACAGGGGCAAGTATTCTTTATCAATATGATACTTTTAGAAAATAATTGTTTTCATTTTTGTGAAATTTATTTCAGACAGTCTCAACCGCCAGTGAACTACGGAAACCAATTTACTGGATTGTAGCTGGTAAAGCCCTTGATTATGAACAGATGCTGCTTCTCATGGCTAATGTGAAATGGGATGTAAAAGAAATTATGTCACAGCACAACATATATGTAGATGCACTATTAAAGGCAAGTGTTCTGGGAAGCACCTGTGCTAAAGATCAATCTACTAAGAGAAGTGTTCCTTTATTGCAGTGGCTCTAAAATAGTAAGATTATAGTTATTACCACATTTCTAGCATTGTGGTATTAAAGCCCCTGAATTGAAATAGGCTTACTTTCTGAATTTGTCTTCTATTAGCTCTAAGAATACGTCGTAGATTTTTTAGCTTTGTTCACTAATTTCCCATTTTGAGTTGTTGTATGTCGTGGCTGACTTTCATATTATGTAATCTCAGTAGCCATCACTATAATGACAAGAAGATATTTCTGTTTAATTAGAAATTATTTCTGTAGTTTAGCATAATATTCATTAGCAAGAGACCATGCCTCTGATTATTCGGGGTAAAAATCACACTACTTTTGCAGTGTGTCATACAAACACCTCTTTGGAGCCAATGACCTGTGTTTATATGTTTCCTGGAAAGAATTGTGGTTTTTTTTCATTGATGCATGAATAAGATATCTGTAGATCACCTGATATGTGTCACACGCTGATAGAAGTGCTGGCAGTATAGCTGTGAATTCAGGAACTTATGTGCCCTCAAGGAATTTACATGCCAGGGCAGAGATAGCAGTAAACAGGTAAATTGAGATATAATATCAGATGATGAATAATGCTGTGAAAAAAAAAGCAAAATCATCTGAAGAGAGATAGAGAATGACAGGATGTGAGTGGAAGAGGAAGACCATGTATTGTCATGCTCAGAGAAGGACCCTGATAAGGTGAGACTGGAGATGAGGCCTGAGGGAAGTAAGGAAATAAAGTGTGGAAAGAGCATCTGAGAAAATGAAAGTAACTTTCAGGAAAAATGTGTTTTCATTTTTGTAAATGAAAAGAAAATTGTCCCTTCTTAACCTCCTTACTTTAATCTCATTTACACAATCATTCTTACCTGCTTAGACCAAGTCAACAAATAAGAGCCTAGGACAGCTGAGAACCAATGAACAGAGCCATAGATTTAAAATAGAGATGGTAATGGAGTTCCTTCAGTCACCCAACTCCCAGCAATTTATGGTCCCCTTTGGAGGCCTAGGTTGAAGACTGTGAGGCTGTCTCCAGACTCCGGGACTAATTGTGCCAACATCAGTAACCAATTGCTAGGAGTTTCCATAGAGATCTTAGCGGGGAATGACACCAAGGGTGCTCTATATTTGCCACTCTGGAATTCAGAGACCATTGACCTTGAAAGAGAATCAAAGAAATAACTTGGTTTCTAGAGCACCCAGGAGATTTCAATTGCAAATTTTCATTTGGAATGTAAAAGATGAATGTAATTTATAAATAATGATACCCCTTCTTTTTTTTTTAACAATTCTGTTTTTGAAAAAATGGTTCTATTTTTTATGACATGCTGTCTTAGTCCTTTAGGATACTACAACAAAGTTCCACAGACTAGGTGGCTTATAAGCAGAGCAGTTATTTCTCACCGTTCTGGAGGCTGAGAAGTTCAAGATCAAGATCAAGGCTCAGGCAGATTTGGTGTCTAGTGAAGGTTTGATTTCTCATAGATGTCACCTTGCTGTACCCTAACATGGTAAAAAAGGCAAGGCAGCTCTCTGGGGCTCTTTTATAAGGGTGTTAATTCCCTTGGTGAGAGCTTGGCCCTCATGACCTAATCACTTTTAAAAAGCCCCACCTCCCAATACCATCACCCTGGGATTAGGATTTCAACATATGAATTTAGGGAGGATACAACATTCAGACCATAGAACATACTAACCATGATCCTTATAGGGTGCAAGAAAAAAAGATTTCTGTGCTCAACAGATACACATGCTGTGAGGAGGCTGCTTGTTTCAGTTATTTGTTATTCCAGTTATAAGAAAGAACTCGTGTTACTCAGAGTATTAACCTGAGCCCAATTTTTAGCAGCTTAAGGCCTTCTTTAAGCATAAAGGTTAATTATCTGTGATAACTTTTGTTCTTTCTGTTACTTTTCTAAGTCTAAGCATCTAAATCTAAACAATCTGCTTATATTGCCCCAAAAGAATCATAAGAAAAATGAAATGTTTGTATGATTCATTTTATAACAAGCATTTTTGAGCATTTAATTTAGCAATAAGTAGAATGTTATTTTGTACACAAAGCATTTTATACATATAGCTTTATCTTTTAAATAAAATATTGATGAAAAATATTGAATTATGACTCTTGAAATCCAAAGCAGTTTAAGGAATGCATAAATAAATACAGTAACAAATACTACTACTCTCCTAGATCCATGAAATGAAACAACAGACAAAGAGCAATTATTTGTATAGTTTTGATTTTCAAAGGTAAATTTTGTGAATTGACAATCCACTTCTTTTTAATAATTAAAAGCAACGAATTGTTAAAAATAAATTAGCAAGAAAAATTGTGATTTAGGAAGTAGCAAAAGAGCAGAGGATAACACAGTTGTCATTAGCCTGAGTGGTGATCAGATTAGATTTTTTCTCCTGTGTATTATTAGAAAAGTTGAACACGTCAGTCTTGTTAAACATTGTGTAGCTTCTCTATTCAGGTAACTAAAGAAAAATGTCATTTTAAGTCTTCTTATATTTGAAATATATTGCCAGGGAACAGTCAACAGCATTTACTTCTGTAAATGAGTATATTTAAATAGCAGTAGTCCAAAGAGACCAAAAACACATCCATTGAAGGCTAAACCTTCTGCTCTTTCCGTCTAATTATTGGAGTTGTCTAAATCAGGTATATGTATTTATATTTTTAGTATGATCATGTCATAAAAGACAATAAAAATATTCAGTTTTTCTGTAGGTAATAGAAACTATGTTTTATTGTTTCCGTTGTACTAAAAATTTGCAGCTAGAGTATGATTTTTTAATCATTTGGTATACAGGTTGAGCATCCCAAATTCGAAAATCCAGTATTTCAAATAATCCAGAATCTAAAACTTCTTGAGTGCCAGCATGACACTCAGAGGAACTGGTCATTGGAGCATTTCAGAATTCTGGTTTGAGATTTTCAGATTTGGGATTCTCAACCAGTAGGTATAATGCAAATATTCCAAAACTGGAAAAAATCCAGAGTCCAAAAATGCTTCTGGCCCCAAGCATTTTAGATAAGGCATCCTCAACCCATATCATTATTTATTTTTAAAAAGTGTTTAGGAAAAGTGATAATTTATTAGATTGCACTCTGAAGAGTATAGATACAAATCACAAATAGTTCTGAACTGAACGCATGTCAAACCATGTTTTTAAACCTGGGTTTCTTGAAGATATTTTTAAAGCCAAATTAGGTCATTCAGCTCTATTCATCTGTACTGACAACCATAGAAAATTTTGAGATATTGGACATTGTTAACATTGTTTAATCAGTTAATGACACTTACTCCTTTTGCGATAAAATGTAGTGTACTCTGTACTATAACATAATCTATTTAAACTAGTGCATATATGTTTTTAAGGCCTTCATACTAAGTCCAAATTATCTTTGGCATTATCTTTTTTGATTTTACTTGGTTTGATTCTGAGTCTTTCTAAATCTTTTTTATTTAAACAATTTTTATGGGAAAGCATTGTGGCATTTTAATGATATTCACAAACAGCTACCTATTTGTCTTCTTAGGAATTTGAGCAGTTTAACAGGAGGCTAAATGAAGTTTCTAAGAGAGTTCGCATACCCTTGCCTGTGTCTAATATACTTTGGGAACATTGTATACGATTGGCTAATCGAACTATTGTAGAAGGGTAAGTTTTTCATGAAAGCATTATTTGTTTCTTTAATGACAAATTGTAATATATGAATAACATACGGTATTAATGGTTGGAGAGAATAAGTAGAAATAATAACAACTAGCAGACAAGTTTGGGATATAATTAGAGAAGAAACCTTAGACCCCACTGTGTCTGTCTCTGTCTCTGCTTTCTTTTCTTGCTAGTGGCATAGAACCAGCTAGTAGATGAGTGAGGAATGCAGAATCTAATGGTTATCTGAAAGTTAAACTAACATTATTACTTAATAATAAAATTATGATGGTGATGATTGTTATACCTAACCTTTTTTGAGCATTAACTATGTGTTATTTACCAAACCAAACATTTCACAGGATTATGTCACCAAACCTGAAATAAACTCTCTTTGGTAGGTACTATGATTCTGTTTTATCAATGAGAAAACCTAGTCTCAGAAAACCGAGACTTAAAGAGGTTAGGTAACTTATCTAAGTTCACACAGTTTTTAAAGGCATATGTACCCCTGATTTCTTTTTTTCTTTTCTTTTCTTTCTTTTTTTTTTTTTTGAGACAGTCTTGTTTTGTTGCCCAGGCTGGAGTGCAGTGGTGCAATCTGGGCTCACTGCAGCCTCTCCCTCCTGGGCTCAAGCAATTCTTGTGCCTCAGCCTCCTGAGCAGCTGAAACTACAGGTGTGTGCCACCATGCCCACTAATTTTTTGTATTTTTAGTAGAGATGGGGTTTCACCATGTTGGCCAAGCTGTTCTTGATCTCCTGGCCTCAAGTTGATCCGCCCACCTAAGCCTCCCAAAGTACTGGGATTACAGGCGTGAGCCACCATGCCTGGTTATACTCCTGATTTCTGGTGGTAAAATCAGCCCTCGTAACCCTTATATCATCATTAATAATAATCACCATCATATCACTGTAAACTCTATAAATCTTTCATGTGTTGAAGTTATGGATCTATTAATAGTAATTTTCCCACTTACTCAGAGACCATGCTTACTCTGCCCATAACATCTAGGATACAAATAAGGATCAGTAATACATCTGAAATATCCCTGAGAAGCGAACAGCTATTTCAAAGACCCTGTACAGTGCTCTAGAATTGCACATCAGTTGAATATTCACACTATCATTTGTCTGATTTTTCTTTTGTTCTCATTTGTTATACAAAATAATGTATTAGAAAGTGGGAAGATGACAGTGACAAGCTGACAACAGTCGTGGCACTCTGTATTGAAACCAGCAGTGCTATAAATTATAAAAAGGCTGTGTCAGCAATCACGAATGAAGAGTATTTTAAATAAATTTGTTTAAGTCGAAATGTGAATAATATATGTAATACTTCTGTATAAAATACTCTTTTTTAAAAAAAAAAAAAAAAGCTTGGTCATTTTAAATAAAATAAGCTTTTATTTTCTTGCAACTTTCCTTAAGGTAAGTACCTCATTCCCACAGTTGAATTTTCCATGTTCTGTATGATTGATTGAAGAAATGAAACATTGACTTAATGAGCAATAAAGTGTTGTATTGTTAGGGTTTGTATATTTGTCTTTATTACTTAGTCCACCTTAAAACACACTGTTTCAGTAGTGTAGAATATCAGAATAGGTCTATAAGCTTTTTATCATGAAAAATATATATATACTTTCTATGCTTACATGCTTACACATTTCTTTATGTTTTCAGAGTGTTCATGGGAGAATTATTTCATTTGTTTCTTTTGCATTGCATTGAATATTGAACAGTTTTATAAAACTAAGATTACTTTGAAGTATTCAAAGCTTAGTTTTTATAAAGTAACTCTTGGCAGCCAGATTAACTGGAATACCAGTTTAACTTTCTTACAGACAATTATGTTGATTGAATACAGAGATCCGTGGTCTGTAGAACAACAAAGAGACTTGAACTCATTGGATCTCTTTGCAAATGAGAAAACTGAGGCCCGCATAGGTAAAATGACAGAGCACAAACACAACCCAGTCTTTCTGACTCAAGGCTTATGTTCTCTATTTCCTATAACCCTCTCATTTCTGGGGAATCTGTCCAAATATAGGTTAGAGAAAACTTCAAATACCTGACAGTTTTTTGTTTCTAATTATCCTATAATGTATTTTTTTTTATTGTTTTGCATCTTAGATATGCCAATGTCAAGAAATGCAGTAATGAGGGTCGTGCCCTGATGCAATTGGATTTTCAACAGTTTTTAATGAAACTTGAAAAACTAACAGATATTAGACCCATTCCTGATAAAGAATTTGTAGAAACTTATATTAAAGCTTATTACCTAACTGAGAATGACATGGAACGGTGGATCAAAGAGCACAGGGTGAGAGCTGGAAAATAGTTAATTAAGTTTTTATTCCTTTTTCTTTGTGCTGTTCTTGTTGGGTGTGTTATTTAATTCAAAATCATGAGAGTGAAATATAAAGAAACATTTGCTTTTTTAATACAAACTACTTAGGTCAATTCTTTGCCTTATTCAGATTAAGGGCACCGTATCTAAGCAGTGCCCTTTGACTCATCAAATCTTTTTCAGCCCTTTGTGAACTGTTACTGTAATGATCTAGAAATACAGCCAAAGCCAAGACATTAGCTATATTTTTCCTGCAACTGTGTTATAGGAAAAGGCTGAAGTTGATAAATACTGAGACAGATTGAATACAGAAACAATGAAATGATTCATAAGCCATAATCGATTATGTAACTTAAACCTTCTCATACAAACCTTCTCGTACTCCTCAACGATGAAATGGTAACATCCTACACACTGACACGTATTAGTGATGAGTGAAGACATTAATATTTAAATGGCTAAACTTAACTTACATCTTACATTAGATTTTACCTTTAATATAGATTTGATTATTTTTCTTTTGTATGACTATATAGATAACGAAAAATACTATTGTTACGTAGGATGCCGAATTTTTGACACAGTTCAACTCAGTGAGCTTGGTATGGGAAGCTTTTCTGTATATGGCATGTGTTAAAATTATCACCAAATCCTCATTGCTTTGATAACTCTAGGATTTACATTTTCTTAACCTATGAATGTCATGGGTAAAAGCTAAGTCAAGTTTTATTTCATTTGGGTAAGAAAATAATTATTTGTATATACCTGCTCAGACTCATCCTTTCTGGCCTTAACACTGTAAAGAGATAAAATGCATTAGCCTAGAACATTCACATTGGCGTGAATCTTGTGTGAATGTCCCCACTCTTACTCAGTTTCGGATCTTTAGAAGCAAAGTAGGAATGTATGTGTTATTTTTAATGAGTTCGACCAGTAAAGCCAGATTGAGAAAAACTTCACCACGTTTAGCCCCACTGACATTTGATAACCAAAATGTTAAACCTAGATGCAGATAGACTGCTTAATGTTGCTAGAATCCATTTAGTAAAGTAAGCTGTAAACACTTCTGGGTTGGTACTGAGGAAAGGGTTTTGGGAAAGAATACAAAGTAGCCAAGGAGGAAAGGCACAGCTCTATTCGATGCAAGAATGATGCCCGTTTTTTGAATTTCCTCTTTTAATATAGTAGACTGATTTTTTTTTAACTTAGTACTTTGAAAGAGCTTTAACTGATTGATATTTGTAATTCAGTGACATTTCCCCAGCAGCAGCAGGGACTCTTTTCTGTCTTTGAAGGAAACTTCCCACAATGATGAGTCCAGCGATCACTGACGATGGATCCTCACTGAATGCTGAGTGGTTAAATGAGATTACTTACCAGGCGGGGACAGGTGCTCTCAGAGATCAGATACACAAGCTGAGCAGTTTGCCAAGTTTTTAAAATCAATTCTTTCTCCTATTTTGAAATTGTACTATATTTAGTGGTTACCTTCAATAAAGACACATTTTCTTTTCTTATTAGATAATAGTACACAGCTGTCTTTCCCTATCTGAACTCTTGCTATTCAACCTCCAGTACCAAGTCAATCTGCAGAAATTTCTGATGAATCCCTGTTTATTCTCATCCTAGCAATTCAGTATCTAAAATTCAGGAACCAGATGGATTTGGATTGCGAAAGATACTCGTAGTCTTAATTTTATTTGCAGCTCCCTGACTTTGTGATCCTTGTTACCTTATTCATTTGTTGTATCTTAGAAGAGTTGTTCTTCTGTTGTTGGAGATTTTTTTTTTAACTAAAGTGTTTACAAAATGTAGAGGGCCAGAAAAATACTTCATCAGTAGCATTTAAAAAATTTGAAATGTCAGTGTATTTTGATGACTCAATAACAAAGACTATTACAGAAACAAGTGTAAAGTGTGTGATCATCAAAGCAGTAAGAAGCATACGCATGTCAGATTGCTTTGCCATATTAAAACAGATTCTAGTGCTTACTGTTTCAAATGTGTACTATAGTATTCTTATTCTCTCCTATTACAGCTCAGTAAACAATTTGCCTTCCATGTCCCAACTGTAATTTCCACTGTTTTTCACTGGTTTATAATGCTCAGTAACTATCCACTGCACCTGAATATCCGCCTGTTCTTTTGTTGCACTGATCAGATACATTCCTTTTAGGGTACTAAATTTGGATCTTTCTTCTTTGAGCAGGAATATTCAACGAAGCAGCTGACCAATCTGGTGAATGTTTGCCTGGGATCCCATATCAATAAGAAAGCAAGACAAAAACTTCTAGCAGCTATAGATGATATAGACAGACCTAAAAGATAATGAACACAGCTCTCTTTCCTCAATGGCATTGATCCTCACTCAACATATATGACCTGAAAGCCAGTTTTTTTATGCACTTCTGACAACTATCTGCTAAGAAAACTTTGTGCATGTTTTTTTGACTGGAAAGTGGAAAATATTGAAATGTGTGTGGTGTTCTCATGACTTTTATATGCTGTGGTCTCTTCAACTTTTGGTCTCATTTGTTGTAATCTGAAATGATGTTGCCGCCTTGTCATAACAATGGTTATGTGACTACAGTTATACATTTTACAGAAGAATGTACCATAAGTATATAATTAGAAGAACAGTGGCTTAATATATGTATGGGAAGTTTATGGAAAATGAAGTTGGCACTTTTCTACCCTCTGAGCTTGGTTCTTAATAAGCATAATGTGAGGGTGAATATGTAGTATCTCCTAATTATGAGCACTGCATGAGAATTAAAAAACACATGTAAGTAAAATAGTTGAAAAATCAGTATGTTCTCTGTTTTTAAAATGTCAAAGTTTATGTCAGGGTTAATTTAGTTATAACAAAGTGATCATAATGGTGAAATTTAATAAATATACTCTAGTATGATCAGCCTATGTGAGACTACATTTTGATTTTTTGTGTGGCATGCAGATGTCATGAACTATAGTGCAGCTTTTAGTGTGTTCTAATTTTAATTGTTTTATATCCTGAAACCAATGGTGAAAAGTAATTTCATTGAGGGTACCTTTTCAATGCCTGAGTAGCATACAGAATCATGATTATGAGACTTTCTTTTATCTTTCTTTATAAAAATATGTGGTTTTTTTGTTGAAAGTTTTGGTCTCTTTAAATTCAGATTTTGTCTTAGGACAGTAAAACCCAGGTTGACTGACTCAGGAAACAGTTGTCTGCTAGTCACTCATAAATGTACGGTCATATGTTCACTCTTCTTAAATATCCACCTTTTATAACACAAATGTAAAATAGTATCAGTCTAGCCAATGATGAACTCTGGAATCCACTTAGTCTTCAGTAAGTATGTGCTGTTCCTCTAAACTTTGCCCTGAAGCCAGGGATCTTCTCCTAATGTATGTGACATAAAAATCCATTTTCCATGTACTCTTGCCAACTGTCTGATAAGGAATTTTGTGTGTGTTCTTTCTGACTGGAGAGTGGAGGACATCTAAGCTTGTGTGGCATTGGTCCAATGATTGCCATGCATGACCTGTAACATCAACAGCTCACAGAATCCTAAGGAATCATGTGAGAAACAGGCCTTGGGTCTTATGAGTCTTCTGGGACCTAAGGTGATAAAATGGATGGCACAGAATGGCATGTGATCAAGCATGGAGGTGATAAGGAAACAATTGCTACTCTGTGTCCATCAGTCCCTGCGATGTCTGTAAATGCACAGTGTAATGTGAAGCACTTTCAGAATATGTTTGTGTGTGTCTGTATGCTGAGTGTTTTCTTTTCATCCTCTCATGTCGGAGTTCATTTACTGTCAATTTAAAACTTTCCTCTTGTAAAAAGGTATGAGTTTGGTGCCATTATGATTTGGTTGTGGCTAGATTATATACTTGTGAAGTAGATTCTGCCTGTAGCCATTATTTATATGCAGCCACTTGAAGAAAACAAACATGAGATAAGCTTGGTCCTTGAGTTTAAATGGCATATTTAGCTGGGCACATAAAGAGCTAATCAATCTTTTAAAATTTGCAGTTGATGAAGAGCTGCTTATTTTTCTCTTCTACATGGATTTTATAGTTGGTTTCCTTTAATTTCTACTTTAGTTGGCCCTAGATAATATGAACAGGAATCACCTGCCTGGTAGAGCCCAGTGTTTTCCAAGGTAATAGGAATTGATACAAAAGAATTACTTATCTTGTTAGAGACTCGACCATGCAATCTGACAGACCTTTTAACCTACCCTTACTTTGCTTTCTCCATCTTCAAAATGAAATGGTGGATCTTTTTAATGCTTTTTGAAAAAGGTTTTTTTTTTTTTTTTTTTTCATTAAAAGGTAGCTTAATAAGTGCTAGCTAGCATCAAAACAGTAACAGGAGGTTTGAGTCATGAAGTTACCTAATCACAAGAGAGTTACCAGACATTTCTCAAATACTTTATACAGTAATATTGAGTTATAACCATGTAACATTTTATGAAACTAATTTTCAGATAAATACAATTGAAAAGCTGAGAATGTAAATGGAATTATACGTGTTCCAAAAACTATCATTACCAAAAATTTATTATTTTTGAGTCTAAACTTTCCTTAACTTTGACATTTTCCATGAAAGTTTCCTGTAGAATTTACCATGGGAGCATGGTAAATTAGCATTCCCTGAGAAAGAATGATCATTTCTACAAATACATTGTCTTGCATTTAAAAATGCTAGGGGGGCACATAGCAATTCAAATGAACTAGTTTGCTTTGGTTTATAAAACCAACAGAGATTTTGTAAGTTCACTTTAACTAATAAACTCATTTACACAACTTATTAAATGAATTTCTCTTGAAACCAGGGCCATATGGTATTTTATCATATCTTTAAATAAAATTTCGAAATTTCTATTTAGCTGAGTGCTAAAGTGAAACTTTGTTAGATTAAATAGCTTTTTCTTAACTCACCAAAAAGTAGTAAAAGGCTTGTAATTCAATTCACCTTGTAAGCATAGTTGTCTTTTGTAATAAAAAACTAGATCTGAAGATGAATTGATGAATACAAGTTGTGCTCAAAGCACATAGAAGTACAGGGTGGGGGGGATTTCCATATATATACATATATATATATTATATATATATTTCTTTTTGGAATAATTTTGATTCGGATTAGTGGTTAACAAAATGATATTTAGCTTCTGACAATGATTAATGATGAGAATTATTAATAGTCTGGTATAATCTTTGTAAATGTTAAGACTGGTGCAGCTTTCTACAGATTTTTTCTTATTGTGGAAAATATTTGCTCAATTCCTATCATCCACAGCTTTGTAAAGGCTATGAAAAAGTTTAAGCAGCACAGCTCTCACAAGGACAAAACTGTTAGATTTATACAAGAGAACTGTTAGCTGTTTCAAAATGAATGGAGAAAAATAATTCATTTGCTTTGATGTGCTTTTCTTGATTGACATATCCTTTTTGAATATTGCTAAGTATACTTAGATCATTTTTTCAATATGAAAACAAAACCACAGCTAAATATTCTCGTTCACTTAGAAGGATCCCTCTGGAATTTTAGTACTTTATTGATATGATTAATATAGAACTCTTTTTGGTGTTTTTGATAACCATTTTTATAAGTTAATTTAGACATCACTTTTTGATCCCAAGACTGAGAAGACCTGGCCCTGGTGAGGATTTCCAAATTTGCCCTGTAGGTATTTTTTCACACTGAGCTAAGCCTTTCCATCCAGGAAAGGGATTTTCTTCATCAGTAGTTTTTGTTTTACTCTGTTCCTTCCCAGTCCTAGGTACCAAAAGGATTTCTGCTTTAAAGAAAAGGCATTTCCACAATGTGGGCATTTTAATCCAGCTACACCAAATAGCAAGCATGCTAATCTTTGCCCAAAAAGAAAGGACTTTGTAGTCAGGGTGTCCATTTTGACACCACTCAGTACTAGAGCCTACGCTAAAGTGTAGTGACACCATCAGGTAACCACTGGGAGACCATTTTTGCTGGCTACCTGCTATCTGCCTTACCTTACTTCTGTTATCCCTGCTTTCCTAATCACAATCCCACCTTTAAGCACCCAAGCAAGATGCTATCCTTTCCATGAAACTTATCCTTCCCAAGGAGAGATGTTGTGGAGAAAAATCAATAGGGAGTGGTGGTGGTCACAATGGTAGTATAACTTAAACAAGGATGGTGGCAGAAGGCCTCCCTTGAGAGGAAGGGAAGAGGCTTGCCATGCAGATGTCTGAGTGAGTGTAGCAGGCTGAGAGAATGTCAAGTGCAAAGGCCCCAGGGTGGAGGCTGCTGTCAGAGAACAGCAAGGAGGGCAGTGTGGATGGCATAGTAAGCAGAAGAAAGTAAAAGCAGAGAGGATGTGGCAGGAGGGGACACATACGGGGAAGGACTTTGGATTTCACCTTCAGATGGAAGCATTTGAGGGGCTGTGAACCAAGTGATGACCTGATTTGTGACTTAGGGTTTACCAAAACCACTCTGTGTATTTGAGAAAGAGCTAGAGAGGGACAAAAAGCAAAGCAAGGAAACAAGCTAGGAAACTAATTTGGTAAACCATGCGAGGCTAGGATTGCAGTAGCATTGCGGGATATGGTGAGGGGTGGTCAGACGCTGGACATATGTTGAAGGTAGAAACAAAATGATTGGTATTTGAGGAAAGAGTGTGCTTAAAGACTTTCTGGAGGAAGTAGAAGTCTTTGGGAAGACTGGGTTTGTGAACAAGATCAAGAAAACAGTTTTGGACAGGGAAGTTTGAGATACTTGGAGATAAATTATTGGATGTGTAGGAGAGGGTAGCGGCATGCAAGTCTGGAGTTCAGAGAAGAGGTCAGAGCTATAGATGTCAATGTGGGAGTCATCAGAATATAACGTAAAGCCAAGATTTCTTTAGGAGGCAGAAAACTTACAGGCATAGGAAAGTAAAAAAATTTAAAAAGGCACTACTCCCCCATCCCCTTGCCATTGTTTCCATGAAAGGTGAGACAGGACCAGGATACTGTGCTGGAGGGACAGTTTTCTAGAGCAAATATAAGAACATCTTGCCACCTAGGGACCTACCAGGACCTTTGGACATTGTAACTCCTTTAACTGGGAAGCCATCACTCTTGTCGGAAGATACACTCTGGTGCAGCTTGTCATCTGGGGGACTGAGTGAGTTCCAGGGTCATGTTGTCTCAGAGTGTCTTCCTCCATCAGGCACTGGCTAAGCATTAAGAATGCTCTAGTGGACAGGACAGATGACGTGTGCCCTCAAGGAGCTGAAATCTAGCAGGATAAATAGATGTAAGACAAACCTTTCATTACATATTGGTGAGTATTCCAAAGGAAAATGCTGGGGTAGGGTTCAAGAAAAGACTCCCATGAGGAAGACATTCAAGTGGAGACAAGATGAGTAGGAGTTGAGTGAGGAGGCTGAGGGAAGAGCATGTTTGAGGATCAGAAAGGGTAGCGTTTGGCCTATAAAAGGGAGGGAGAAAGGCACAAGAGGTGGAGGAGGAGCTGCAAACGTAGATGTCTTCAAGCAAGAAACACACAAGTAAAGCAGCAAATGTTATTCAATAACAAGTGACCAATGTTTTGAGAAGTGGACAGTGTGGGCCAGGCTGTACCTCCAGGCACTTGAATTATAATTTTAAACTGCATCCAAATGAACTAATCACTCCTGCTGGCCTACTAGTTGAGGGGAAGAAGAGAGTCTGTAGAGAAGAGAGACCCAGAACTTCATCTGTGTGTTCTGCTGTGCATCCTTGACAGCACCTGGCACAGAATCTCAGCTAAGATGGATGAAATGCAAGTACTCAGGCCCTTTGAACTAGAATTTTTGCCTAAACTGAAAGAGTTGGTGAGTTCCTTTGGGGCAGCACTGTCACATATATACTCCTTACACTCCAAAGCTCTCTGTCCTGGATCGAACATATAATATTGACTTTTCAATATTGTTGAAAGAAGATTAATTACTCAGTGATTGTTGAGATGTGCATTGGCATTTGAAGCTAAAATATTAGTGGTTTAAAAAGAAGCAAAACTTGCCTCAATTCCTTTTTTTTTTTTTTAAACATTTGCAGGCTGTGTAAGTTGACACTTGCCTTGTTGTATTAGACTTCCCTAGACCCCTGGTTCTAAAAATGTGGTTCCCAGTAGCCTCAGCATTCATTACCTGGGAACTTGTCAGACAGGCAGATTCTCGGGTCCCCCCACCCTGCCCCTAGACATGCAGAATCAGAAACTCGGGATGAAGCTCAGTGATGGGCATTTAAACAAGCAATGATGCACACTAAAGTTTGGGAACCATTGCCTTGCACTTGTTCACACACACACACACACACACACACACAGAGAGAATGAAAGTGATCCAGAGAAGTTCACCTGTAACTTTCCCCTAATTAATAAAAACTACAGTATAGCTATTCCAAACAGACTGATGAGAAGGCCTTGTTTCAGTTTTTAGAAAATTATTTATCTTTTATCCACTTAATAATTGTTACTATTCTTCAAGATAAATCTTAAACACAGAGCATTATTACCTTTCCTGTAGGAGCCTCTGAGTGACTGGTGTTTGAACAGGCCAGCAAGCATGTTGCATCTCCTTCACACTGACTTGAGGTGATTAACAAAGATTCTCCCAGGAGATTTTTAATTGGTGCATGAGTCATGAGCAGTGAGACAAGTGGAACTGCAAGAATAATGTATCTTACAGTGATTTGGTCTTTGATTTTCTTAGCAGTTAATTGAATCAGGTGGAGAGAGAAGCCAGTTCATGATTTGGTAAGGGAAGCTAGCCATTCAGATGGCTATTGTATGTGAATCAGCTTGTAAAATTTCACTTTGCTGAGTCCCCCAAATCTAAGAAGTGCTAAAACATCTGAGAATTGGTTAATGTGCAACTTTGTCTTTGCAAATACGGAAGGATTTGTAGAGGCACCTGTTTCTACTACAAAGCCACAGCTGGACTCTGAACAGGTGGTGTTCAAGAACATCTCTTTTAGCTTTTAAGATGAAAATATGGAGTTATTAAGCTGGAGTTATTCTGAAATTTCCACAAAGCTCAACACAAAAAAGGCTATTATAATTCTTTTCCTAATAGAATGCATCAGGATGATTGAATTCATCAGTCAGAATTACTAGGGGAGGAGATGGTTGGAAAAGTGACTTAAAAACAGGCACAGGGCACAACTTTTTTTTTTTTATGTTCCTTATAAAGCAAATTCTAAGAACTACACTTTCTGAGAACTTTCAAAGATCTATCCTTTCTCAAAAGAATATGTGTCCAATTTAATTTTGTCTTGCAGACAGCCTACAAAGCAAGCCTGCTCCCATGACCTGTCCCCTCTGTATGGATGCCATCTGCCAGCTCCTCCCAGCAGTTCTTTGCTGCCACTACCTCTTTAATGGCCTCCGTTTCTCTATCCACATTCACCCAGGAATCTTCTCAGTGATGGCTTCCTGCCAGCAGCATCAATTCCCCAGCCTACCACTTATACCACATTCCAAGCTCTTCATGCTATGTTATCTTGGATATATTACCTTGGCTTGTCTCCTGTGCAAGGGGCTATCCACCACATTTATGTGTCTCCCACAACACTCAAGTCAGCACTGAACAATTAGTCACAATAAACTTAGTGTATAACATTCACCAAGTATGCCTTAAATGATTTACCTTTATACATTTAATTCTAACAAATCTGTATAGTAGCCAGCATTATTATTACCCCTACTCTCTACAAATGAGGAAATTATATAATCCATTTAATTTCTGTGTAACTCAGTAAGTGAAGGAGGTGGATTTGACTCAGCCAACAATCTACCATGGTTCCATAGCCTGTGTATTTATCTATTACCCTAGAAGTCATCTGAAGCAAATAATCTTTGTTTGATTAATTTAGGAAAGACATGTCTTATTCTAGATAGAGTTAATGTAACATTCCTCTCCTGTTTGTTTCCATGTCAGACTTACCACAAGCCTGACATGAGTTGATGGCTGGGGCTCTATTGAGTTCATTTGTTTCCTTGCCTAGTCTCCAGTTACCCTTCTGTGCCATTTCCTTTTCTCCAAGATGAGAATAATCATAGTATCTACTTCCTAGGGCTATTGTAAGAATAAAAGAATGAAAAAATTCTCAGAACAGTGTTTTGTATATAGTTCAGTAAATGGTAGTCATTATTATTAACCTTGTTCTGTGGAGGAGGTGACTGCGGCTCAAGATTATTAGGCAATTTTCCCAAAACCACAGTGCAAGGGGTAGAACCAGATCTTGAATCCAGTGCTCTTCCCGTCACTGCTTCCAGCAGCCATGTGATCCAGGTATGGCCACTGATGGACCTCATCACATTTCTTCCGGTCACTAGTCTGCTAGAATTGCATCCCAGTATCAATTCCGTAGCTGTGTATTTCACTCGTTCCCAAAGCGTTAGTTAGCATACTGCAGAACGTATGCTGGTCCTAAGTGGGACTCCTTCAATTTTTAGTGCCTGCAGATTTCAAATCAGGGCCTATTGCTAGTAGTGAGTAATGTAATCTGCTTTGGAGAGGTAAGAATCAATGGTTATTCCATGTATAGGTGAATGCTTTAAAGCCTCTTCCTTCATGCGTTCTTTTGATAAACCACCTAAGAGACACTCTTCTGACTGCTAAGAAATTCATGTGACAATGGTACTGTTTGTGCTACCACACAAGCTCCTAAGGAAATTCCAACTGTTATGTTCACTTCTACTTCAATTGTGGGGAAAGTTTTCCCTTTATCCTTCTCCCCATACAAGGTATACAGCTCTCCCATCCTGTGTTCATGGGGCTTAAGTTTGGAGTTGCTGAAAGCTAGGGATCCCACAGGTATTAGAAACATCCACACTCAGGGCAGCCCAGCACTGAGTCCCTTCTACTCCATTCCTTTACCCACACAGGAAGTGATCTGCAAGTGGGCATATTTTAGTTCACGCTTAGATCAGCAGTTTCTTAGACTCCTTTTCAGTTTGTTTGAGGGTTGAAGGAGCAAAAATGACATTTGGATGCTAGTGAGATGCAAAGAAAACAGAAATACTCAGAAAACCAACAGAGGCATTAATAGGGAAATAACTCTGCCGTTGACCAATATCTTATTAATAAGATTGTTGGGAGAGTACTCTCATTTCTTTTAGAATAATTCTTTGTAGTTTGGATATTTATAAATACAAAAACCTAATATTTTCATCTCCAAGCTCATATGTACACACATGCGCACACATGTGCACACACACACACACACATTTTCTCCTGCCCTAACATCACTGACTAAACAAATCTACTGCCTGGTATGTATTTCTTTAGATAATGGGATGGTTATTTTAAAATCTATTTAAGCTGAGGTCCAGCAGTTACCACTGCTGAGTCATTAATCTTTGAGACAAGGCTTGTTGCAAGCAAACTAACTGCAGTTTTGTCCCTGAGAGTTAAGTGTGTGTCAATAATAAAATTCTAAGTCGAATTATAATTAGTGCACATCCAGGGACTGAGATTTGTCAGTGCTTGATACTTGGTAAGTACTTTGTCTTTAAAAGCTCACTTGTTGGAAACTGGTTTAAATGCTTTTTAAACCATCTTGGAGATGGTTAAAACTGGGAGACTATTGGGAAGGTACAATTGCATTTTGCCATGTGAGAAGAGCATGAGCTTCTGGGATCCAGGAGTGGAATAATACAGTTTGGATGTTTGTTCCCTCAAAATCTCATGTTGAAAGGTAATCCTCAATGTTGGACATGGGGCCTGGTGAGAAGTTTTGGGTCATGGGGGCAGATCCCTCATGAATGGCTTGGTGCCCTGCCCATGGTAATGAGTTCACATGTGATTTGGTTTTTTTTAAAAAGCCTGGCACTCCCACCTCTCTCTTGCCCCCTTTCTTACCATGTGATATACCTGCTCCCCCTTTGCCTTCTGCTGTGAGTGGAAGCTTATTGAGGCCCTCACCAGAAACAGATGCTGGCACTATGCTTTTTTTTTTTTTTTTTTTTTTTAACAGTCTGTAGAACTGTAAGCCAAATAGACCTATTTCCATTATAAATGAAAAAAAATTTCATAAGGCTATAGCTGCCACAGATAATGATTTCTCTTAGGGCTGAGCAAAGTAAATTGAATACCTTCTAAAAAGGATTCTACCATTTCTAGATGCTGTTAAAACATTCATGAATCATGAAATAAGTTTAAAATATAATTGACAGGAGTATAGAAGAAGTTGATTTCAACCATCAGGGATGACTTTGACGTGTTCGAGACTTCAGTGGAGGAAGTCACTGCAGAGATGGTGAAAATAGCAAGAGAACTAGAGTTAGAAGTGAAGCCTAAAAATGTGACTGAGTTGCTGCAATCTCACAATAAAACTTGAACAGATGAGGAGTTGCTTCTGATGGATGAGCGAAGAAAATGGTTTATTGAGATGAAATCTAACGCTGGGGAAGATGCTTTGAACATTGTTAAAATGACAGCAAAGGACTTAGAATACTACATCAACTAACTTGATAAAGTGGCATCAGCATTTGAGAAGATTGACTCCAGTCTTGAAAGAAGTTGCACTGTGGTAAAGTGCTACCAAACAGCATCACATTTCTAAAGAGAAATCTTTTGTGAAAGTGTGACGTGGCACACTTTTATTGTTGTCTTATTTTAAGAAATGGTATATAAAAATGTACATGCTATAAAAGCCAACCCAACCTTCAGCAATCACTATTCTGATTAGTCAGCAGCCATCAACATCAAGCCAAGACCCTTCACCAGCAAAAAGATTATGACTTGCTTAAGGCTTGGATGATCATTAGTATTTTCCAGCAATAAAGTATTTTAAATTAAGGCATGTACATTTTTTAGACATAATGCTATTACACATTTAATAGAGTACAGTGCAGTGTAAACATTACCTTTATATGCACTGGGAAACCAAAACATTTTTGTGACTCACTTTATTGCAATATTTGCTTCATTATGGTGGTCTGAAATTGCACCCACAATATCTCTGGGGTATGCCTGTATTTATCTAAAGACAACAAAATCAGTATGTTGTAGAGATATTTGCACTCCCATTATTATTGCAGCACTATTCACAATAGCCAACATAGAGAATCAAACTAAGTGCCCATCAGCAGATCAATGAATAAATAAAATGTGGTTTATATACACAATGGAATACTATTCAGCCATTTAAAAAGAATGAAATCCTATCATTTACAGCAACATAGATAGACCTAGAGGACATTATGTTAAGTTGAATAAGCCAGGCACAGAAAGATAAATATTACATGATGCATTAGTCCATTTTCATGCTGCTGTTAAAGAAATACCTGAGACTGGGCGATTTACAAACGAAAGAGGCTTATAATGGACTTACCATTCCACGTGGCTGGGGAAGCTTCACAATCATGGTGGAAGGCAAGGAGGAGCAGGTCATGTCTTACATGGATGGCAGCAGGCAAAAAGAGAATGAGGAAGACACTGCAGATGACATGATTATATATCTAGAAAACCCCATTGTCTCAGCCCAAAATCTCCTTAAGCTGATAAGCAATTTCAGCAAAGTCTCAGGATACAAAATCAATGTACAAAAATCACAAGCATTCTTATACACCAATAACAGTCAAACAGAGAGCCAAATCATGAGTGAACTCCCATTCACAATTGCTTCAAAGAGAATAAAATACCTAGGAATCCAACTTACAAGGGACGTGAAGGACCTCTTCAAGGAGAACTACAAACCACTGCTCAATGAAATAAAAGAGGATACAAACAAATGGAAGAACATTCCATGCTCATGGGTAGGAAAAATCAATATCGTGAAAATGGCCATACTTCCCAAGGTAATTTATAGATTCAATGCCATCCCCATCAAGCTACCAATGACTTTCTTCACAGAATTGGAAAAAACTACTTTAAAGTTCATATGGAACCAAAAAAGAGCCCGCATCGCCAAGTCAATCCTAAGCCAAAAGAACAAAGCTGGAGGCATCACGCTACCTGACTTCAAACTATACTACAAGGCTACAGTAACCAAAACAGCATGGTACTGGTACCAAAACAGAGATATAGATCAATGGAACAGAACAGAGCCCTCAGAAATAACACCACATATCTACAACTATCTGATCTTTGACAAACCTGAGAAAAACAAGCAATGGGGAAAGGATTCCCTATTTAATAAATGGTGCTGGGAAAACTGGCTAGCCATATGTAGAAAGCTGAAACTGGATTCCTTCCTTACACCTTATACAAAAATCAATTCAAGATGGATTAAAGACTTAAACGTTAGACCTCAAACCATAAAAACCCTAGAAGAAAACCTAGGCATTACCATTCAGGACATAGGCATGGGCAAGGACTTCATGTCTAAAACACCAAAAGCAATGGCAACAAAAGCCAAAATTGACACATGGGATCTAATTAAACTAAAGAGCTTCTGCACAGCAAAAGAAACTACCATCAGAGTGAGCAGGCAACCTACAAAATGGGAGAATATTTTTGCACCCTACTCATCTGACAAAGGGCTAATATCCAGAATCTACAATTAAGTCAAACACATTTACAAGAAAAAAACAAAGAATCCCATCAAAAAGTGGGCAAAGGACATGAACAGACACTTCTCAAAAGAAGACATTTATGCAGCCAAAAAACACATGAAAAAGTGCTCATCATCACTGGCTATCAGAGAAATGCAAATCAAAACCACAATGAGATACCATCTCACACCAGTTAGAATGGCAATCATTAAAAAGTCAGGAAACAACAGGTGCTGGAGAGGATGTGGAGAAATAGGAACACTTTTACACTGTTGGTGGGACTGTAAACTAGTTCAACCCTTGTGGAAGTCAGTGTGGTGATTCCTCAGGGATCTAGAACTAGAAATACCATTTGACCCAGCCATCCCATTACTGGGTATATACCCAAAGGACTATAAATCATGCTGCATAAAGACACATGCACATGTATGTTTATTGCGGCACTATTCACAATAGCAAAGACTTGGAACCAACCTAAATGTCCAACAATGATAGACCAGATTAAGAAAATGTTGCACATATACAGCATGGAATACTATGCAGCCATAAAAAAGGATGAGTTCATGTCCTTTTTAGGGACATGGATGAAATTGGAAATCATCATTCTCAGTAAACTATCGCAAGGACAAAAAACCAAACACTGCATGTTCTCACTCATAGGTGGGAATTGAACAATGAGAACACACGGACACAGGAAGGGGAACATCACACTCTGGGGACTGTTGTGGGGTGGGGGAAGGGAGGAGGGCTATCATTAGGAGATATACCTAATGCTAGATGACGAGTTAATGGGTGCAGCACACCAGCATGGCACATGTATACATATGTAACTAACCTGCACATTGTGCACATGTACCCTAAAACTTAAAGTATAATAATAATAAAATAAAAAAAGAGAGAATGAGGAAGACACAAAAGTGGAAATCCCTTAAAAAACCCATCGGATTTTGTGAGACTTATTCACTGCTATTAGAACGTATGGGGGAAACCACCTCCATGATTCAGATATCTCCCATCAGGTCCCTCCCACAACACATGGGAATTATGGGAGTACAATTCAAGATGAGATTTGGGTGGGGGCACAGCCAAACCATGTCATTCCACCCCTGGCCCCTGCCAAATCTCATGTTTTCACATTTTACAACCAATCATGCCTTCCCAACCGTTCCTCCAAAAGTCTTAACTCATTCCAACATTAACTCAAAAGTCCACAGTCCAAAGTCTCATCTAAGACAAGGCAAGTCCCTTCTGCCTATAAGCCTGTAAAATCAAAAGCAAGCTAATTATTTCCTAGATACAATGGGGATACAGACATTGGGTAGATACAACCATTACAAATGAGAGAAATTTGACAAAACAAAGGGGCCACAGGGCCCATGCAAGTCTGAAATCCAGTGGGGTGGTCAAATCTTAAAGCTCCAAGATGATCTCCTTTGACTCCGTGTCTCACATCCAGGTCATACTGATGCAAGAGGTAGGTTCCCACAGTCTTGGGCAGCTCTGCCCCTGTGGCTCTGCAGGGTACAGCCTCCCTCCTGGCTGCTTTCATGGCCTGGTGTTGAGTGTCTGCAGCTTTTCCAGGGGCACAATGCGAGCTGTTGGTGGATCTACCATTCCGGGGTCTGGGGGATGGTGGCCCTCTTCTCACAGCTCCACTATGTGGTGCCCCAGTAGGGACTCTGTGTAGGGGCTCTGACCTCACATTTCCCTTCTGCACTGCCCTAGCAGAGGTTCTCCATGAGATCCCTGCTGCTGCAGCAAACTTCTGCCTGGGCATCCAGGCATTTCCATACATCTTCTAAAATCTAGGTGGAGGTTCCCAAACCTCAAGTCTTGACTTTTGTGCACCCACAGGCTTAACACTATGTGGAAGCTGCCAAGGCTTGGGGCTTGCACCATCTGAAGCCACGGCCTGAGCTCTATGTTGGCTCCTTTCAGCCATGGCTAGAGCGGCTGGGACACAAAGCACCAAGTCCCTAGGCTGCACACAGCTCAGGGACCCTGGGCCCAGCCCATGAACCCACTTTTTCCTCCTAGGCCTCCAGGCCTGAGATGGGAGGGGCTGCCAAGAAGACCTCTGACATGCCCTGGAGACATTTTCCCTATTGTCTTGGGGATTAATATTCAGCTTCTCATTACTTATGCAAATTTCTGCAGCCAGCTTGAATTTCTTCTCAGAAAATGAGATTTTCTTTTCTATTGCATTGTCAGGCTGCAAATTTTCCCAACTTTTATGCACTATTTTCATTTAAAAACTGAATGCCTTTAGCAGTACTTGAGTCACCTCCTGAATGTTTTGCTGCTTAGAAATTTCTTCCACCAGATACCCTAAATCGTCTCTCTCAAGTTCGAAGTTCCACAAATCTCTAGGTTAGGGGCAAAATGCCACCAGTCTTTTTGCTAAAACATAACAAGATTCACCTTTACTCCAGTTCCCAATAAGTTCCCCATCTCCATCTGAGACCACCTCAGCCTGGATTTCATTGTCCATATCATTATCAGCATTTTGGGCAAAGCCATTCAACAAGTCTCTAGGGAGTTCCACACTTTCCCACATTTTCCTGTATTCTTCTGAGCCCTCTAAACTGTTCCAACCTCTGCCTGTTACCCAGTTCCAAAGTCGTTCCCACATTTTCAGGTATCTTTTCAGCAACAACCCACTCTACTGTTACCAATTTACTGTATTAGTTCATTTTCACACTGCTGATAAAGACATACCTGAGACTGGGCAATTTACAAAAGAAGAGGTTTATAATGGACTTTACAGTTCCATATGGCTGGGGAAGCCTCACAATCATGGCGGAAAGCAAGGAGGAGAAAGTCACATCTTACGTGGTTGGCAGCAGGCAAAAAGAATGGGGAAGATACAAAAGTGGAGACCACTGATAAAACCATCAGGTCTAGTGAGACTTATTCATTACCATGAGAAGAGTATGGGGGAAACTGCCCCCATGATTCAATTATCTCTCACTGGGTCCCTCCCACAATATGTGGGAATTATGAGAGTACAATTCAAGATGAGATTTGGATGGGAACACAGAGCCAAACCATATCACATGATGTCATTCATTTGTGGAATCTTAAAAAGATGATATTACAGAAGTGGAAAAGTAATTACCAGAGGCTGGGGACTGTAGTGGGAAGGAGGATAGGGATGGATTATGCAATAGGTACAAAATTACAGTTAGATAGGAGAAATAATTTCTGCTGTTCTATAGCACAGTAGGGTTGACAATACTGTTATAACTAGAACAAATAACTAGAAGAGAGGATTCTGAAAGTTCTTACCACAAAGAGATGATAAGTGATGTGATGGATATACTAAATAACCTTATTTGGTCATTATACAATGTATACATGTATGGCAACAACACATTTTACCTCAAAAATATGTACAATAATTGTGTCAATTAAAAAGCAAATAAACTTACAAAAATAAAATAAAAAGGGACGTGCAATCTCAAAACTTACAAAGATAAGTATATAAACTCAAATTAAGTTTTAGTGAATCCTAAATATTTACAAAGTTTTCAAATGATTCAGCCTTTTAAAAATCTGGAAGAGTTTTTCTTCTTTCCTAGTAAGAATCTAAAAGAAGGAAAGTCACATTTATATTTTATCTTATTCTTTGAATCACTATTTACCACCTACAAGAGAAAAAAGCAACATAATAAACTAGGACTATGAACCATGAAAAAAGAATTCAGATGTTTGAAAATTGTTCTTCCAGAACAATGGTAAAACTAAAAGCAATTTTTGATTTCACGAACATTTGCAACTTTAGTTACACTAATTACTAGTTGACAGGATTTTAAGGAATGCATTTAACTTAATAATACCCTCAAACAGAAAAACATTTTGCAAACGGTAATTTCAGTCTATTAGCTATTTACGGCAAGTCTTATCCAGCTTGGCAAATATTTGAGTGCCTACTAATGGTTCAAAAGTGGTACTGCACCATAAAGCCTCATCTGGTCTAAAGCTGGGGAAATTGAAGGGTCCTGTGTACTTGATTTAGAGTCTACAATAACCAACCAACTCTCTGTTTTCTGTCTTTAAAAAACTGAATCACTTGGGGAAAATAGGAAAATAAAATTTAGTAGGTATTATTTTAAAAAATACAACTTACAAATACCATTTCCGTTTTCTTGAAAACAAAGCTTCCTTTCTGCAAGAAACAATGACAGGTAAATGTGAAGTGAGCTGAAGTATGCTGTAAGGACCGTGGATATGGAGACAAAACACCAGTGTTCTCATCCTAATACTGTCACATTCTATGTGTTGGTTTCCACATCTAAAATGAGGGTTTTTCTGGCTTTAAAATTATGACCATAGAAAAATTTCCTCAGTCAGTAATGATTAAACTTCCAAAAATATAAATAAAGTGATTGTTTTCATTTTGCAGCATTTTATAACAGAAATTATAGCTAACAAAAGTTAACAGAGGACTTGACTATTTGTGGATTTTTATTTTCTTCTTTAAATTCTTGGTTTTGTTCTGAACTTTCATAGTAGGCATAGATTACTCTTACATTCATAAAATGGGTTTCTTTTTCAAGTTTGAAAAAGAAATAAGTGAACCATAGTTCTTTCAGTAGTATAGGTTACATGGTATATGTTAAAATTTTCCTCCCCATTCAATCCCAGCAATAAAGTACATATACTAGTAATAGTCATTTAGGCCATCACAGAGATATGTTGCATTTTTAATGTGGTTGATTGGTGTTTCTTTTAATAAGAATAAATTTAAAATGGAACTTTTTTTTTTTTTTCATTTCAAAGCATCTTGATATAACAGGAAGAGAATGGGTTTTTCCATCCCTGTATATCTAGTCAAGAATCCCATCCCTTCTGCTTCCCAACTGTGACTTTGGGCAAGTTGGCCAACATTTCTGAAGATGAGTAGGGCTACTGTATGGGATTACTGGCAAATGGTCTCTCTTCTGTATTCCATTCTGGGGTGGTGAGTCTGAGGCTCTGGAAACTTCATGTCCTAGGTTTCCTTGCCAGCTGGATTCCAGTATGGTTTCATCAATGGGAGCCATTGGCTGGTGATTGGCAGGTTTCTAGATTCTTTCAGCATCTGCCTAGTTGCAAATGACAACTCCAGCTCCAGCTCCAGTTTCCAGTTTCTCTAAGTACTCTCAGTCCCAGCTGCACTAAGTTCAGAATAGCAGCTAGCTGTTCTGCATCAATTGGTCCAAGCACTCCACAGTGTGGGCCCCAGAGGTATCAGCATCAGCCACACTGCACATCTCCTGCTCTATGTTCTCCCTCAAAAAGCCAAGCACTATAGGGCTGGGCCTTCACCTGAGGGGTTCAAGCATCAGTTCTGGAAATGGAGGAGGGGGTCTCTCCTTTGATCCCCTGGGTTCTAACAATTTAATTGTGCCCTTCTTTTACCCAGTGTGAATGCCTACTAGTCTAACCATATAGCTAAGAAACCCCTTTCTTCATTTATCCTTGCAGTGGTTTTGTATCAAATTTGTGCCTTAGCAAACCACCTATTTTAACCCTTTGGGTTGCTTAGGAGTTGTCCAAATGGTGCATTTTAAAGTCGACCATGTCATGGATCTATTGTATTTCTTAAAACTGTTAATAAAAGATCAGTCAATAAACCTGATTACATCTGCACATCTGCAAAGAGTGTTTCAAAGTCTGAAAATTCCTTTATCCTCTGTAAAGGCAATTTAACCCCAGGAAGTTCCACGTCCTAAGCAGGTAAGTTTCCAGTTGATCAAAGAACTGATTTCTCCCAAATAAAATTTTAGTCTTTCCTCCAAACCACTCACTTTTGACTCCTTACACCTTCATTCCATTTTTTTCTTTTGGGTGGAGGTGGGGAAGCAAATAAACTGTAGTAATACAAATTGTTACTTTAAAAAAGACCTCTACTTTAAAGTTCCCTACAGTCCCTTAAAATTTTTTCAGTCAGTAGGTACTCTCTCCAAGATAATGCTCAAAGTACTAAGTCTTTTTATTCATACATTCAACTTTTAGTTGTGACATGGCATTATCACTGATGTGATATATACATGACATATACAACTTCTCTCTCTAGGTAAGAAAAAGAATACAACATATTTCTAGCATTTCCTGACAGATTCAATAATCAGCAAGTAAAAGAAATCCCATCAACCCATAAGTTTGTTATTAGTCAATATAGGCTTTTGATGGATGAAGTCATTTTGGGAAATTTCCTAAATTCTAAGGTGTACAGAAGGAGGATAACTGGATCTCAGTTGTCCTCTGAGTCCTATGCTTCTCTGGATCAATTTTAGAGAACACAAAGTTTTAGTGTCTTTTTCCACTTCGATCACTTTAAATCAGAAGGAGTACCTGGATGAAACAAAAATGAGTTTTCCCAACTTCCATATTGACTACATGTGCTCCGGCAGTATCACAAGTGTTGAGCTTCTTTGTCACACAAAAGTTTCAGGATTACCTTGTCATGCTCATTTAAATGTATGATGGATTGATTTGTCTCGCTTCACTTTTCTCTCCTACTGTTTGAGGTTCCTGGGAGGAGTTGTTTGGAGTGAAGGGAGAAGGGGATGGTCTGAAAAGCTTTGAGGTCTATCTGGAAACAACTTTAGATGTGTAAATTCTGCAGAGCTTAAGGCTTCTCATGCCTTATGATAGAGACAGTTCTCTCAACACATCATGATTGGTCCTGGCTGGCCCTAGAGGAAATGCAGTCCTTTCAGGGTGTGTAGGATGAGGTGCTATTGCTGGGGCAACGCATTGGAGTCTAATTGCAGGAGTTAAATTACTACCTGGAAACCGGAGGAGAGCTGTGAAAGGAAATTGTGGTGGCATCTGATCCTGAACCAGCTAAGTTTTGAGGCTTTAAGAGGAGGTAGTTTTCAAGCAGAAAGTGAAAAAACCATTTTCAAAAGAGACTTGGTGAGACTCAGAGCACAAGAGGTAATGCTCATGTCCAGGTACAAAGTTATGCTGAGAGTGGGAAGACAATCACCTTGACACAAACCACAGAGTAGCTCAGGTACAGTGAGGATTGAAGGGATAAAGCACTGTTTTGTGCTTAACCCTAAGGTTTTGCCATTTTAGCAATTGAAGGTGATTATACTTTGGGCTGTTTCTGAAGACAATATCCAGGAGGATCCACCATGGGGATGTGACCAAACACAGGGGATGACTACATAGCTGGGCGAATGACCAGAGGACAAGGCAGCATGGCCCATGCTGAGAGAGAAGCAGCACCCTGTTTAGGGTGTAAGTCATTCCTGGGGGACAAGTGTGCTGGGAGCTAGTGCTTTCCAATTAGACACATGAAGGCTACCAAATATATACCCACAGACTGATTGAAAGTGGACATTTTCAGATTACACCTTACTTATATATTTAACTTTATATTACTATTATATGTTAAACCTCACATGTATCCCTAAAATGAAGTTACCAAATGTTTGACTTGCAAAATATTTTCCAATCTAAAAGCCATAGTTTTCATTGTTTCATCAAGACCATTGTTCTTGGGATACCTAGTTAAAATGTCTTAATTCAGTCTTCTTATCTTTGTGGTTTTCCAATGCTACCAAACTAAGACTCCAGATAAAAACCATTTTCCTTTGCAATGACTAAAGTCAAACATCTTAGATTTTTCTATCCAAATCATTACCCTATTTACCATCACATTTCAGTTCTGGATATGTCTGAAAGTAAAAATAAAAATGTTTTCTATATCACAAGAAAGCATATTTGAATAGGAACTTCCGGTTAACCACAGTTTCTATTCTACTTCTATTAAAAGAAATAAGCAAATGCAGGAAGAAAGACTTCTAAAGAAATATTTTAGATCTCCTCTGGCACTTTGTATCTTGATGAATTGCGCATTTACTCCAATTGGGCTTTTCTGCTTGGTTTTGCTGTGTGCATTTTGATGGCGAAATCTAAAACCGTGTGGCTGCTGCACTAACGTGGTTTACTGCCAAGCAGCTGGACCATTATAACGGAAACTCTGAGCTTGTGAGACACAACCACTTTTTAAAAAAAATTTAATTTACCTTTAGAATCATGTCTTATTTTTCAGCAAGAAGTTGTCTTTATATTTCCCACTAATTTCAGAGGAAACACTGACAAGTTAAATTTTAGCAATTTTAATTAATTAATCAAAACAAATAAGGTGATTGTATAGTTGGTTCTATTTGGCTTTCAGCTGTCCATAGAGATGATTAAACGTTTTGGCAAAAGTACAAAAGCTCAGCAGAATTTGATAGACCAACTCTTTTCTCCACTAATGGACATGGATGATACATAGTCTGGGAAAGGAGAAAGATAAACTGTTTTTGACAGTGGATTAAGGGCAGACCTCTGCCATGACCTAGAAAAGACAGTGCTAAGATGAACTCTCCCTTAAGTTTTTGAAGGGAACTTAATCCTACCTCTTTCCAGAATGACTATTTTATCTTCTTTATTTCTGCCTGGCTGGGCTTAGTGTTCCATTGACCTTACTCTTCCTGTTGGATGTGCAGAACTTCCTCCAGCATTCAGAAAAGTGGGGATGTGGCTCTGGAAGAATGTGAGGGTAACACTATGGTATAGTAAGTAATGCAGGCCCAAGAACAGGTAATTTAAAGGCAATCCTGTTTTAAAATTACTCCAGATGACAGAATGTGTACCTAGGGTCTGCAAGGAAATTCATCAAACCTCAGGGACAGAAGGACTATATCTTTAACCCAAAGAGGATGTTATCTGAGCCATCTCAGTAAGAAAAAAACCCAAATCTTTCATTAGAAGACTGCCAGAGAAGGCAAGCCATGTCTACCTCATTCTAGTACCCTGGAAATACACCACTCTGTCAGCTATGATGGTGTCCCTGAGTACTTTCTCCAGTTTTCTAGCCAAACCACTCTTAAGCTCACCAAATCTCATCCTCACTTTACTACTGTTGACATTTCTAGGGCCTAGCAAACAGTAGAATATTTCAAGTTACAGAATGTTCTTTGCCAAGAGCAAGCAAGAATTCTGAACTGCTCATATATCAGCAGTCAGCACTTTCCAAAATTGAAACAACTGTTTTTTTTGATTGATAATGGGCTACACTTTTCCCTCAAAAAATAGAAAATAAAATACGTATCATAAAATGACTGTAATTGCTTGTAACTACTCATTTTTAATTCAAATACTATCTCAACTTGAAGATCCTCCCTCTTACCTACCATCATTTGGATTGGTAACTTCAATTTATAGTTACACTCTTACTTTATAGAACATCACAGTTAGAGATGTTATTCTTTTAGGAAATAATTTCACAGCACTGTTTCTCACATTCTACAAGTTTTTAGTCAACAGTGGCATTATACTCTCTATAGCTACAGAGAAAAAAATTAATCCTTAAAGAGCTAACAAATTTTCATTCCAAGCTAATTGAGTCCCTCTTTTCAGGCACCTAAAAGTCCCTCACAGACTAGAACAACTCTAGCTCCCCATAAAGGGAATCTTATGCTCTATGCTCTACTTGCTCTTGACTACAACATTTTAATGACAATCTTCTATGAAAGTGAAAACACTTTTCTGAATGTATGCGTGTCCCAGGGTTCAGATGACCCATTCTAAAATCCCACCTTCCTATTTTTGGAGAAACTGAAAAAGTACAAAATAACTGAAGATGAAGAAAATAACTCAATTCAGAACATGTTGCTAAATCCCTTGTCATTGATGGTGTAGACAAGGACAATGGCTTGAGATTATCTCCTTCCAACATCCTATTCAGATGTACACATTTACACTCTAGCAAGCACCTGGAGTAATTTCTAAATAATTTTATCATATCTTAAATAAACTTTCTATTTAATCTAAATATGGTTATTATTTTGAAGGTTTGCCAGTGATAAACACTGTAGAAATAAACACATAGAGACTAAAGTTAAACAGAGTTATTTTACCAGAGCTGAAGAGGAATGCTTAGGTAGACTAACATTATCCTTCCAAAGATGTTCGTATGTAAAGAATGAATACTTTACATATCGGTAGCCAGTTTTCCCAACATCATTTATTAAATAGGGAATTATTTCCCCATTTCTTGTTTTTGTCAGGTTTATCAAATATCAGATGGTTGTAGATGTGTGGTATTATTTCTGAGGGCTCTGTTCTGTTCCATTGGTCTATATCTCTGTTTTGATACCAGTACCATGCTGTTTTGGTTACTGTAGCCTTGTAGTATAGTTTGAAGTCAGGTAGCGTGATGTAGAAAGCTGAAACTGGATCCCTTCCTTACACCTTATACAAAAATTAATTCAAGATGGATTAAAGATTTACATGTTAGACCTAAAACCATAAAAACCCTAGAAGAAAACCTAGGCAATACCATTCAGGACATAGGCATGGGCAAGGACTTCATGTCTAAAACACCAAAAGCAATGGCAACAAAAGCCAAAATTGACAAATGGGATCTAATTAAACTAAAGAGCTTCTGCACAGCAAAAGAAACTACCATCAGAGTGAACAGGCAACCTACAGAATGGGAGAAAATTTTTGTAAGCTACTCATCTGACAAAGGGCTAATATCCAGAATCTACAATGAACTCAAACAAATTTACAAGAAAAAACCAAACAACCCCATCAAAAAGTGGGCAAAGAATATGAACAGACACTTCTCAAAAGAAGACATTTATGCAGCCAACAGATACATGAAAAAATGCTCATCATCACTGGCCATCAGAGAAATGCAAATCAAAACCACAATGAGATACCATCTCACACCAGTTAGAATGGTGATCATTAAAAAGTCAGGAAACAAAGGTGCTGGAGAGGATGTGGAGAAATAGGAAGACTTTTACACTGTTGGTGGGACTGTAAACTAGTTCAACCATTGTGGAAGACAGTGTGGCGATTCCTCAAGGATGTAGAACTAGAAATACCATTTGACCCAGCCATCCCATTACTGGGTATATACCCAAAGGATTATAAATCATGCTGCTATAAAGACACATGCACACGTATGTTTATTGTGGCACTATTCACAATAGCAAAGGCTCGGAACCAACCCAAATGCCCATCAATGATAGACTGGATTAAGAAAATGTGGCACATATACACCATGGAATACTATGCAGCCATAAAAAAGGATGAGTTCATGTCCTTTGTAGGGATATGGACGCAGCTGGAAACCATCATTCTCAGCAAACTATCGTACGAACAAAAAAACAAACACTGCAGGTTCTCACTCATAGGTGGGAATTGAACAATGAGAACGCTTGGACACAGGAAGGGGAACATCACACACCGGGGCCTGTTGTGAGGTGGGGGGAGGGAAAGCATTAGGAGATATACCCAATGTAAATGATGAGTTAATGGGTGCAGCACAACAACATGGCACATGTATACATAAGTAAGAAACCTGCACATTGTGCACATATACCCTAGAACTTAAAGTACAATAAAAAAATAAAAATAAATAAAAATAAAAAAATATAGAAGTGAAACATATAGTCAGTAGGAGGCTTCTATGGGCTTCTCCCTTGCTGGAGGAAGCCAAAATAATAAACAGTTTTACATTCCTAGTGCCAGGACCTGTGTCGGGTCAACAAAATCTGAGACAAGTCAAGGTAACAGAGGCAGCTGTTTGAATAGATTCACTGGAGAGTCTAAGGCAGCTCTCCAGACCAAGCTGTATAGGAGATAAGATAGAAATAATCACTCCGGTACCACTGTAGGCAGGACTTGAATGTACTGGGGCCCTTTTAATCAGACTTAGCAAGCATTTTTTGCCTCTGATCTTCTAGTTGGAAGAAAATTAGTTACCAATAGACTTAGGCAAATGCTATGCTGTAGGCACATAGCCCCAATCTATATAAGGACTAAGAAAATTTTAACACTTTGAGTTGGTCTGGTGGAATTACTTCTGGCCTCCTCACTGTATCCAGTTACAGTAATAAATTCCCCTCTTCCTAGTTTGTCTGCTTCTCATTATTGGGACTTGAGAAAACGCAGCCAGACCCGGCTTCGTTCCAGGAACACTAGTAGGAATGTAAAATGGTATAACCACTCTGAAAAACAATTTGACAGGTTCTTAAACAGTTACACAAACACTACCATATGATCCAGCCATTCTATTCCTAGGTATTTTACCAAGGGAAAAGAAAGCATATGTCTACACAAACACTGTACATTGATGTTCATAACAAATTAATTTATGATAATCAAAAGCTGCAAACAACCCAGCTGTCCATCAACAGGTGAATGAATAAACAAACTAGTATATCTGCACAATGGAATTCTCCTCAAAAAGAAAAAAAACAAAAAGAATGAATACACTCCTGAGCTATCTGTCTTTGCATTATTGCTAATTTATGAAAAGAAAAAATAAATTGTCATAATTTATAGCCCCATTTCCATTCTCACAAGGTTCTAGCTTCCACCACATGATTTACAGCCCTTTATCCATAGTGTGATCAATCAAGTACTACCAAGACCAAATTTCCTTTCCCAGGTATCTATTTAGTCACTTCTCTGGCTCTTACTCTAATTAACATGTTTCTAGATTGACTTTTCAATGGTTCACAACTTGCCACTTAATATTTATGGGCTATGGCTTCTCATTTTAGAAAAATATATTCCCTCTTTAACAATTCCCTCTTAAACAAGTAACAAGCTTACTGGTGTGAGCAATCACCTGCCCTTGTAGGGTGGGGCCTCTCCATAGGCTTTACCATTGCCAGTTGGCTTTTTTTCTGGGTTCTGCATATGTTTTACAGAGTAAGACTCTGGTGCTAATTCTGAATAACTGAGAACCTTATTCACCTCTCCAATTCTATGATCCAAATGCTTCCATTTCCGTCTACAGTCTAGTCCACAACCTCTTCTCAATGAGGACTGTGTCTGTCTCCTGTCTCGCAGCAGGGCTCCAGTATGAACCATGCTGTATAGAATGCATGAAACAGCAGCCTGTGGAGCAACTGAGAGCTGTCTCTCTCCTCCTTACATTTGCCGTTACAGAGCACATGAGTAGTAGCTGCATTAAAGCAGTGGGAAAATCCCTGACCCACTTTCCCACCTTTCCCTTACTTCTACATCACACAGCCGGAAACAAAGTTCGGGGAGAAGAGAGCATGAGGAATGTACTTCAAAAGCATGTCCACATCACACTTGCACAGCTTCTCTCCACATCTGTGCTTCTTCTGCTCTATTTTTTGATACGATAAGGAATGTACCATCAGCAGAAAATGGTGGGTGGTTTTAAATCTATCATCACCTTTTCACATAGGAGAGAACCAAGGTGCAAATGGCATTATACACATTGTCCCTAAGTTTGGGAAACTGGTGAGCAATAAAGTTGGATTAAGTAAATGAATGATTGGGTTGTGTCAACACCAAGCCCATGATTCTACTGTTCCTCAAGGAATGCTTCAGACCCTATGTTCACTCAAAAGTGGCATGTGTATTGAAGTTTAGCTTTTCTCCTTTTCTTCAGCAACCAACTAGACCCTCCCAATCAGCCCTGCCCCAGGTCAGGACATAGGACATGCAGGGGCATTTAGAGGGTATTAGAAAAAAGAATAATGATATTGGAAGTATGGGGAGGCTGATGAAGGGAAAATGAGTATAACATGTTTCTAGTACATTCTTCTTTCTCTTTTACCATATGCTCTTTCCTGCCACATAGTTCAGAAGGGTAGGATTTGCACGGAAACTGTCAAAAGTTGCTTCTGATTTGAGCCTAAGTGTTAAGGTCTATTTTGCCATTTCTAGCATAAACCAAACAGAGGTTTTAAAATGGCATGCTTGGGAAACCGTGGGCTTCTATGGTTGTATTGAAGGATCAATACAAGAGACTCAAATGCAATGCAAATAATTTCACAGCATTAAAGAAGGACAATGGCACAATGGATGAAAATTGGTAAATATCAGAAACCTGTACTCAAGTTAGAGAATATTTTATTAATTCAAGCAAGAGATACTAAGAACTTGGAATCAGCCAACGGTAATGTCAATGAAAAGGAAATAGCAAGTATGACAGGAACTTTGTGGGCAGAACCAACTAGAATTAGTATTTCATAAGTTGTGGAAGATTAAGGAAAATGAGGAGTTGGAAATGGCTTCAAGATTTCCAGCCAGGAGACTAGAAGGATGTTTATGGCATTAACTAAGAGAGGAGCTTGGTGAAAAGGAAAAGATGTGAAGAAATAATATTGTAGGTGGAGAAAATGTTGGGTTGGATTTATAATATGTTTCAAGTATAAATAAAAGCATGAACAAACGAACAATATGCTCCAAGTTTGTCAAGAAACTTAAAGATTGTCATTTTAATCTTTTTCTTGCTGAAATTTATAGTCTTACCAAAACCCAGTTCTTATTGGGAGATTAATGACTAAATATATATTAAACTTTCTTTCTCTAAAACTCTGTTCCTCTCTGTGGGAGATAACAACCAGCAAATTATGACCATGAATCAAGAAACCTGTAATCAAATAGTTCATAACTATGAACAGTTCATAAACAAATCACGGCTTCTTTGAAGCAGACTGTAGATTCACACTTCTCTAATAGCCTCTAATTTTGAGCAAATAAGTTAGTATGTATAATTTTCCACATTATTCAATAAACTTGTAATGATAAACCATTAGAATAATTATGTTCACCATTTTCATACCAACAAAATGTCCAAAAGATTAGGGCAGACACACTTGGAGAAGGAAGAATATTCCTTATATCATGTTCATATTTAAATTTCCTTTAAAAACTTACTTGTTGTACTCAAAATATATAACTTTACAAGATTGTATAATCTTTAAAAGTAAAATCCAGCATATTTTAGTGATCTGAAGCCATAGTCAATTTCAGACTTTCGCAACAATGATTATTCTGCTTTTGGATAAAGTGAGCAAGTATTTTCCTAATAAGCTAAAGTGACAGTTTAAGTGCTCCTCTTAGTAAGCTTCATGTTTAATTCCCATGAAAGGTTTATGGAAGGTTCTCCCCTATAAAACTAGTATATTATATTTAAATTTCAATTATATGACAAGTTACACTCATTTAACCTTTCATGCAAGATTTCTGCTCTCTGAGTTATAGTTTTTCTGCTTCTTCCAAGTGATAATAATTTCTTGTAAGCTTAAAGGCAAAAATCACTATTCACCCAAAGCCAAAAGAAAGAAAGGTAAAAGACCTGTAAAAGGCCTTTTTATTTCATAACCTAGATCAATCCATCATTCATGTATTCATTTATGTATTTGTGTACCAAGTATCTATTGAGTATCTCCATGTACAATTACTGTGACAGATAATTGCATTTACAAAGTTGACCAACATAGGCCCTCTCTTAAAGTTTAGTAAGGGATGTAGACATGTAAACTAACAAATATTGAATGATCACAGCAATGATGGAATGACTTACCAGGTGATGTGGAAACACAGAGGATGGAGGGCGATCTATACCAGAATGGAGGAAGTCAGAGAAAACTTTCAAAAAGGCTAAGCCTCAGGTGAGTCTTGAAGGATGAATGAAGCCCTTGTCTCTTTAACAACTATGCTTGAATAAAATATAAAGATGCCAAATGCTATGATTGAAAGGGCCCTGGAGACCCTTCCTTATAAACATAATCCCTGCTAACATGCCTCCTTGTAAGTCATTTTATATTAAGTCTCTGCCTGAGGAAGACCATTGTCAGATGAAAATTCTTTAACTAGAAAGGTTAACACAGGAATAAACAGCCATCCATATATTTACACATATACTTCATCTATTTCTCAGCAATGGGCTAGATGAAGAAATGGGATTCTAAGTAGAGATATTTGGCAGCAGGGAGCAAGAAGAGCCAAAATCCCATAGAATTCTATGAAGGGCAGATCCCAGTGGGGGTACAGCCATGGGGTTCAACAGACACTAGATTCTTGGCAGAGTTGTGACTACAGGTGGATGAGGAATAGAGCAGCCCTCAAGAGAAGAAGAGGGAGAAGTGGACCAACTCACTCATAATTTCTCCTCATGTTAAATCTTCCATTTCCCAGGGAGGGAGCAGAAAACACTTGATAGTTTAGATCTCCTCAAATTAGAAGGAAGCCAATCCAGTGAGCAAAAGCCAAAAGGCAAAGCTTGGGCTTCAGTTTTTGTTTGTAATTGAAAAGGCACCAAAAAATAGCCACTGAGCTGTCAAAAGGAATGTGAAGGTCAGAATCATGTTTAACTGCAAATACAAATCAAATATACAGAGTTGACTCCAAGCTGGCTGAGAAGATAGGAAACTGACACCTATTCAGCCCACATACATTGAAAAGCAAGCAGTGGTAGCCTTGCCTATAACAAAGATACTGTAAGAAATCCTGGCTTTTTAAAAAATTTTATTATTATTTTATTTTTTTAAAAAAACATGCTGAGAACCTGCACTCCCAGGAAAATGAAGTATATGTAAATTTCTCTATTCCTCCCTGGAATAAAACCCTGGAGATGATACACGGACAGATGATAGATAGATAAGAACTCTGAAAGATGCGGGGAAGAAGACAGACTAGCTAGAGACCTCAGGACCTCCTGGCAAAAAAACGGTGGTAAATCCCTTGAGTTTTCTTTTTGCTTCATATATCCCAGAGTAGAAGTTGAAGAAGCCAGCAACACAGAAAAAACAATGGGCACAGATCAGAATGAGCCCCAGGAAAAGCCTACTCTCTCTAACCAAAGGACCAGGAAAGAAGCTGTGATGGTTAACACTGAGTGTCAACTTGATTGGATTGAAGGATGCAATATTGATCCTGGGTGTCTGTTAGGGCGTTGCCAAAGGAGATTAACATTTGAGTCAGTGGGCTGGGGAAGGCAGATCCACCCTTAATCAGGTGGGCACCATCTAATCAGCCGCCAGTAAATACAAAGCTGGCAGAAAAACGTGAAGTGATGATACGGTCCTAGCCTCCCAATCTACATGTTTCTCCCATGCTGGATGCTTCCTGCCCTCGAACATCAGACTCCAAGTTCTTCAGTTTTGGGACTCGGACTGGCTCTCCTTGCTCCTCAGCTTGCAGACAGCATATTGTGGGACCTTGTGATTGTGTAAGTTCGTACTTAATGAATACTTAATAAACATGAATATATATAAAATAAACATTTATACATATATATACATATATATGTGTGTGTGTGTACATATATATATGTACGTATAGTCCGTACTGACTAATACGGAAGCCTAGCAAAAAGAAAATCTTTTAGAAAAAATTACCCCACTGCTCAAACACCCCAAATAAAATGGTGGACCCACCCTCATCCAGGCCAGCAAAGGCTAAATGAGGAGCCTATGCTTCCACCACCACCAAGCTATAAGGAGGCATCCCAACCTACCCCGACTCTCATCAGGGTGTTGTCAGGGAGAGCTGAATAAAGAGGCAGAACTTTTATCCCCACAGGGCAGTGCCAAGATTCACTCCCCATCATCACACCTGCTCACTCCCACCTTACCCTACTCTCTGTACTTTCCTCCTGATGAGGAGCAGCAACCAGCAGGGAAACCTAAATTTCTACCTCTTCTCAGCAGCATTACAAGGAGTAAAGACAGCAGACACAAATTACCAATATCATGAATGAAACAGAGGATGTCACTATAGACTCTAAAGACAACAAAAGGGTTAGGAGGGTATACTACAGATGACTCTACACACATACATTTGAAAGCTTAGATAAAATGAACAATTCCTCAAAAAACAGAAACAATCACATCTCACCCAGCATGAAATAGATAATTTGAGTAATTCTATGGTTATTAAAGAATTTAAATTTGTAAGTTAAAATTTTCCAGAGGGGCTGAGAGCAGTGGCTCACACCTGTAATCCCAGCATTTTGGAGGGCCAAGGCTGGTGGATCACTTGAGGCCAGGAGTTCACGACTAGCCTGGCCATCATGGTGAAACCCCATCTCTACTAAAAATACAAAAATTAGCTGGGTGTGGTGGCAGGCACCCATAATCCCAGCTACTCAGGAGACTGAGGCAATAGACTCGCTAGGAGGCAGATGTTGCAGTGAGCCGAGATCGCACCATTGAACTCCAGCCTGGGCAACAGAGTGAGATTTCAAAAAAAAAAAAAAAAAAATCCAAAAGAAAAAATAAAACCAAATCTATGTAATCTCTCCCAGAGAAGGGAAGCAAAGAGAATGCTTCCTAATTCATTTTATGAAGCTGGTATTACCCTGATACCAAAATCAGACAAAAACATTAAAAAAGAGAGAAAACTACTGACCAATATTCCTCATAAATATTGATGCAAACATTATTAGGAAAATATTAGCCGATGGATTTTGGCCATATACAATGAGAATTATATACCATGACCAGGGAGTTTATTCCAGGAAAGCAAGGTTGGCTCACTAGTTGAAAATCAAAGTAACCACCATCTTAACAGATTAAAGAAGGAAATCACGTTTGTGTCAAGAAATACAGAAAAATTATTTAACAAAATTCAGCACACATTCATGAGAAAAACCCAGAAAAACTGTAATAGAGGAGAACTTTCTCAGCTTCATAAAGAGTATCTTCAAACAACCTACAGCTAACATTATACTGAATGCTTTCATTCTAAAATCAGCAACAAGGCTAAGATGTCCACTCTCTTCTTATTCAGTATAGCACTGGAAGTTCTAGCAAGAAAAGAAAGAACAAATAAAAGGAGTAGAAATAAAAGTCCTATAGATAGGAAAGGAGGAAGTCCAACTGCCCCTATTTGCAGGTAACATGAATATCTGCATGAAAGTTCCAAGGAATATATAAAAATACTTTTAGAACTAATAAAGTGAGTTCAGCAGGGTCCCACAATACAAGATAAAATATAAAAATCAGACTTTATATATTAAAAAACCACATAATGAACCATAGACTTAAATGTAAAACTATAAAAATGTTAGAAAAACACAGGAGACAATCTTTGAGATCTAGGGCTAAGCAAAGAGTGTTTAGATTTAACACCAAAAGCATGGTCCATTAAAAAAAACTGATAAACTGTACTTGATCAAAATGAAAAACTTTTTTTTCTGCAAAAACCTCTCTTAAGGTGATTAAAAAACAAGCTTCAAGCTGAAAGAAAAATTGCAAACCACATATCTAGCAAGATACTAGTATCTAGAATAGATAAAGATTTCTCAAATCTCAATAGTAAAAAAAAAAATCCATTAAAAATTGGGCAAAACACAGAAGAGATTTGACCAGAAAGGATATACAGATACAAATAAGCACATGAAAAGATGTCAAAACCATTAGCCATTAAGGAAATTAAAATTGCACTGAAATATCATTACATAACTATCAGAATGGCTAAAATAAAAAATAGTGACAACACAAAATTCAGAAAAGATAGAGAAACTGAATGACTCATTGCTGGCAGGAATGTAAAGTGGTACAATCACTCTAGAAAACAGTTTTGTAGTTTCTAAAAAACTAAAAATGTAATTTTCATATGATCCAGTAATTTCACTCCTAAGCATTTATTCCAGATAAATAAAAACTTAAGTTCACATGAAAACCCACACATGAACATTCATAACAGCTGTATCCATGATAGCCAAAATTGGAAGCAATCTAGATGTCCTTCAACAAATGAATGGTTGAAAAACTGTGGTATATTCATACGAAGGAAAACTATTCAGATACATTCAACAACCTGAATAAATTTCTAGATACTTATGCTGAGTGAAAAAGCCAATTCTAAGGTTATAATCAGTTTAATTCCATTTATATAGGATTTTTGACAGGACAAAATTATAGACATGAAAACAAATTAGTGATTGCCAGGAGGTAAGGAGGAGGTGAGAGTGAGAGGGAAGTGAGCATGTCTGTAAAAGAGCAATAGGAGGGATCCTTGTGGTGATGAAGACATCCTGTATCTTGACTATATCAATGTCAATCTCATGCCTGTGGTACTATAGTTTTGCAAGATGTTGCCATTGGGGAAAACTGGGTAAAGGCTAAAGATGATCCCTCTGTATTATTTCTTACAACTTCGTGCTAATCTACAATTATCTCAAAATAGAAAATTTAATTAAAAAGTCAAAACAAAAGTGTGCTGTTTCTCTGCCTAAGGGGACTGGAGAAATTACACGGGGGCCCAGAAAATAAGAAAGCAAGAGCCCACTCAATCCTGGCTAAGGAATTAGAAACAAAGAAGAAACTAGGAAGCAAGACAAGATTTCCTTCTTATGACTCGGTAGAGCTGACAGTTGAGCCCGACGTGGAAGGTTAGGTGGTTGGGTTATGGTCAACTGCCATTTGCCATATGCTCACTGTATTAGTCAGGGTTTTGTACAAAACCAGCAAGATGTGTACATAGACAGAGACATTTATTTTAAGGAGGTGTGTGTGTGTGTGTGTGTGTGTGTGTGTGCATTCAAGCAAGTCAAGTTTTAAAAACTAGGAAAAAAAACCATGACTCACCTGGTGGGAAAAGATAGTTATAACCATCAGACAAGGCATCCTATGCTTCCATGCTGTCTTTAACACTAGCAGAAAAAGTAACTTAAAAACTCTGCTGCAAGATGACTGGCTGTTTTCTAAACTATCTGAAGTTCTCTCAGGCCATCTGTGGGATAACTCCATTTTATTTTCTCTTCTATAAATATTTTAGGTGTAATCTCACATGCCACAATTTGTTTGTCACATGTGTCACCTGGGTATGATGGTTTGATTCATAAATTTCTCTTATTCTCTGCTAATTTTCCTCTCTCTCCTGTTCACCCCCAAATCTCAAGCTTCTCTTTTAACTCATAAGACATTTTAAAGATCCATGATCTAAGCCAGAGAGGCTGGTCTAATTGAACAGCATTGTCAAAAAAAGGGCTAATATTATATCTCCAAAAAATTACATAGTTTTTATTATTAGAATGCTTTTCTCCATATGATACTTTAAAATCAGAGTTGTTTACATTTTCTTATATATTTACATATTTTAACACTTCAAGACTTTAAAAAGTTTGAGCTTAGAATGGACTCACTTGAAATGCTTCTGTAAATTAAACACAATATGAAATAAATACACCCTGAAATGTCATGATGGCTTTGTTCACCTTTGCATTTGGTTGAAGAGACTGAACACAAAAATCTGAAGCAGAGCATTGCTTTTGGAACATAGCTTACTTGGTCCAAATTGCCAGGAGTGCACCAACACGTACAAGACTCTTAATGCAAACCAGGAACAGATGGCCTATCCTGACAGAAAAATTACACACAGAGGCCCCTTCCTCTGCACGGCCTCTTGGAGCTGGAAGTAACTTGTAGGTGTTGGTCCTGGAGGAAAGGAAGATTTTCCATTTTTGAGGGCTGAATGGGTGGTAGGATGCAGCAAATCTTTCACTACTTCTTGAGAAAAAAGTCACATACGCTAGACCCTTAAATATTCTGGTCCAGTACACTTTGAAGTTTCTCACCCAGCATCACATATCATCATCCTGAACATGTCCTTGTTAGTTTCTCTATCCAGTTTTACATGCTCATTTTGGTCCTTTCCACCGCACCCCCCTTCCGAAATAGTTCTTCCACACTTATCATGGTTCTACTACACTTATCATGGTGCTACTTCTTCATGTGGTGTTATCCCCTCCCTGTGTGCTCAGCTTTGCCAGTCTTTCTAAGCTGTCTATTGGCCTTTTCTGTATCTTTCCCTGTGGGTTAGATTTTCAAGGCCATTGGTCATGTCTGCTACTTATCTCTGAACTCCTTCCATTTTGCCTACACTTCTCAGGTAGTGAGCTGCTCACCAGAGTATAACAGAAGGAACACACAGTCTCCCAAGATTATGATGGAATTCTTGGGGTATGCTATTTAGTAATTTTAAAAAATTAATTTCCCATTTAAGATTTGAATATAATTTTATGTCTATGAATAACTTTAGTTGTATTTCTTCTCCCTGGATCTATCTTTCTAGTTCAAGAAGTTATTCGTGAAAGTATTTCTCCAACTGTATTAGCTTTAGTTTTTAGAAAGTGTCCTATTATTTGTATCATTTACTTTTTTTCTTTTTTCTTTTTTTTTTTTTTTTGAGGCAGAGTCTCACTCTGTCACCCAGGCTGGAGTGCAGTCATGCAATCTTGGCTCACTGCAACCTCCGCCTCTTAGGCTTAAGCCATCCTCCCACCTCAGCCTCCTGAGTAGCTGGGAATACAGGTGGGTGCCATCAGGCCTGGCTAATGTTTGTATTTTTAGTAGAGATGGAGTTTTGCCATGTTGCCCAGGCTGGTCTCAAATTCCTGAGCTCAAGTGGTCTGCTTGCCTGGGCCTCCCAAAGTGCTAGGATTACAGGCATGAACCACCGTGCCTGTAAAATTAAAATTTTTTAAAATTATCTTTTAAAGGTAATTTTTGTCCTAATTCAAGATTGATAAATATCATGTTCAATATCCTAAAATGAACAATTTACAATTTTTTGTAAAAACATGTAAAGATGTAAAAATACATCTTTAAAAAGATGTATTTTTCAACCTGAACCTGACCAAAAATTTTGCATAAATGAAAATTAAAAAGTACTTTTTAAAATGCAAAATCTTTCAAGTACCCTATTAGAAATCTGTTTAGAGAATGCCAAACTAAATCTATTTACATAACAAATCCCTACAAATTGCTTTTTAAAAGCAGGATTAAGGTGCATTATAATTAACCTTTTGCTTTAACACAGCATCAAAATAACAAAGTACTTTGCAAATTACGTAGTTTTCTAGTTTGTCAGGGGAAAAATGTTCTCAAGTGTGTCTTATATAAGAATGATTATTCCAGACTATTTGAATTATAGAAGTACATATAATTTTAGAATTTTTAGGAAATGTGAAGTAAGCAATAAAAAGAATCTTCAAATAATATTATTAATTCAAATGTATATATTCATAGCAATTTTTTTTTTAAGAATAAGACATATCACTCTATGTGAGGTAGTAAATACCAAAACAAACAAAATTCACTGGTTTTGTCAAAGAACAAAATAAAACCAATCAAAACAAAACTCTTCTTGTCCATCCAGGCCGCTGAGGAAGGCAGGAAGGCAGGTAAGGTCAGTTCACTGAAAATCAAATGTTTTACCAAAAGCAAAGAACCATTTATTAAAAAAAGTCTTGTGACCACCAAAAGAACTACCATAAACAAGAAGCTGTCATGGCCACGTGTGCCTGTAATCCTAGCACTTTGGGAGGCCAAGGTGGGCAGATAACTAGAGCTGAGGAGTTCAAGGGCACCCTGGGCAACATGGGGAGGATTATGCCATGTTGTGTGTGTGTGTGTGTGTGTGTGTGTGTGTGTGTGTGTGTGTCTCGAGCAGATTCTGGCTGCCCCAGACTCACTAATGCTGCCTCCTGGTTGTATGTTCTCCAGGAGATAGTTTTGGATCCTTCATCTATTATAAAATGCATTTTGTGTGATTTTCTTCCTTTTGCATTATATTGCATGTTATCAATTTAAGGAAATAATCCTTTGGAATTGTTAAAAAAACAAATAGGAAGCTGTGATGTGACAATGAAAAATTGCTGGGTCTTAAAACATTTGTAAATTGTGGATTTTAGGATATTGAACATGATATTTATCAACCTTGAATAAGGACAAAAATTATTCATAGAAGAGAGAATACACTAAACAAATGTTGTCTACTTGTATCTGACAGGAAAGGTTTTCCTCTTTTTAAAAAGATAAATCATAGGTCCAGCCCTGCCAAAGAGCAACACTGAATCATTGCACGTAACTGAAGCATTGACTTGTTTTTCACCTGAAAGTTTTCAGAATATGCTATGTTTATTACCAAATGGTAGAGCAGGTATAATAAAAATAGACACCAACCATCCTCCTAGGAAAGACTTGAGTAGAAAGTAATGTGATTCTCAATGCCTTTCACACAAAAGACACATATGGTAATTAGTTTATTCTCCTCATGTACGGTGTAAATAGCAAAATGTGACTGAGTGGTTATTGTAGGCACTCTTTCCTTAGAAAGAGTTTCATTAGAGTTTGAAAGTATTTCTGGGAAAACATCAAGCAAAATATTCCATGTTGCTAACTGTAATGTATGTAAATGGGGTTTTCCACCTTTTGGTGACTCATCTTGACTTGATCCTTAATCAGAATTAGAAAATTCCTAAATTTATATGTGGAGGAAAGATGCTTTGGGGCTCCCCTCCCCAGTAAACTAATACTTAATGTAATCCCGACTTCAGAATTGTTATCAACCAGGGGTCTTAGTTGGTCCTGAAAGATCTAACTTGTGTTGTAATAGGACTGGGACTATGAGGAATAAGATGTAGGATCCAGAAAAGGAAGATTTTCTGGACTGACATAAATATCTAAAATACCTGAATGTTGTACTTCAAAAGTAACTTGAAGCAATTTTTAGTGAAACATACCGACATATTTAAAAAATAAATCAGACATATATGAGGAGGGAAAAAACTCTACCAGGTTTCATTTCCCAGAGAATTACTGATATAATACAAAAGCATTTGTCTAATCTTCCTGGCAGCTGAAGAGGAAAGGCAAATAGGGCATGTTATTTCCACACCCCGACCTCGTATTTCTGCGCCCCGACCCCTTCTCTGCTTTTCTGGAGGGCAAGAACCCCCCACCCCTTCTCCATGTCTCTACTCTTTTCTCTGGGCTTGCCTCCTTCACTATGGGCAAGCTTCCACCTTCCATTCCTCCTTCTTCTCCCTTAGCCTGTGTTCTTAAGAACTTAAAACCTCTTCAACTCTCACCTGACCTAAAATCTAAGCGTCTTATTTTCTTCTGCAATGCCCCTTGACCCCAGTACAAACTCGACAGTAGTTCTAAATAGCCAGAAAACAGCACTTTCAATTTTTCCATCCTACAAGATCTAAATAATTCTTGTCGTAAAATGGGCAAATGGTCTGAGGTGCCTGACGTCCAGGCATTCTTTTACACATTGGTCTCTCCCTAGTCTCTGTGCCCAGTGGGACTCGTCCCAAATCTTCCTTCTTTCCCTCCCGCCTGTCCCCTCAGTCCTAACCCCAAGCGTCGCTGAGTCTTTCTAATCTTCCTTTTCTACAGACCCACCTGACCTCTCCCCTCCTCCCCAGGCTGCTCCTCGCCAGGCCGAGCTAGGTTCCAATTCTTCCTCAGCCTGTCTCCACCCTATAATCTTTTTATCACCTCCCCTCCTCACACCTGGTCCGGCTTACAGTTTCGTTCCGTGACTAGCCCTCCCCTACCTGCCCAGCAATTTACTCTTAAAAAGGTGGCTGGAGCTAAAGGCATAGTCAAGGTTAATGCTCCTTTTTCTTTATCCCAAATCAGAAGCGTTTAGGCTCTTTTTCATCAAATATAAAAATCCAGCCCAGTTCATGACTCGTTTGGCAGCAACCCTGAGACACTTTACAGCCCTAGACCCTAAAAGGTCAAAAGGCCGTCTTATTCTTAAAATACATTTTATTATCCAATCTGCTCCTGACATTAAATGAAACTCCAAAAATTAAATTCTGGCCCTCAAACCCCACAACAGGATTTAATTAACCTCACCTTCAAGGTTACAATAATAGAAAAAAGTTGCAATTTCTTGCCTCCACTATGAGACAAACCCCAGCCACATCTCCAGCACATAAGAACTTCCAAACGCCTGAACCGCAGTGGCCAGGCATTCCTCCAGAACCTCCTCCCCCAGGAGCTTGCTGCAAGTGCCAGAAATCTGACCACTGGGCCAAGGAATGCCCGCAGCCCAGGATTCCTCCTAAGCCGTGACCCATCTGTGTGGGACCCCACTGAAAATTGGACTGTTCAACTCACCTGGCAGCCACTTCTAGAGCCCCTGGAACTCCGGCCCAAGGCTCTCTGACTGACTCCTTCCCAGATCGTCTTGGCTTAGCGGCTGAAGACTGACGCTGCCCAATCGCCTCAGAAGCCCCCTAGACCATCACGGACGCCGAGCTTTGGGTAACTCTCACAGTGGAGGGTAAGTCTGTCCCCGTCTTAATCAATACCGAGGCTACTCACTCCACATTACCTTATTTTAAACGGCCTGTTTCCCTTGCCTCCATAACTGCTGTGGGTATTGACGGCCAGGCTTCTAAACCTCTTAAAACTCCCCAACTCCGGTGCTAACTTAGACAATACTCTTTTAAGCACTCCTTTTTAGTTATCCCCACCTGCCCAGTTCCCTTATTAGGCTGAGACACTTTAACTAAATTATCTGCTTCCCTGACTATTCCTGGATTACAGCTGCATCTCATTGCTGCCCTTCTTCCCAATCCAAAGCCTCCTTTGCGTCCTCCTCTTGTATTCCCCCACCTTAACCCACAAGTATAAAATACCTCTACTCCCTCCTTGGCGATCGATCATGCACCCCTTACCATCTCATTAAAACCTAATCACCTTTACCCCACTCAATGCCAATATCCCATCCCACAGCATGCTTTGAAAGGATGAAAGCCTGTTATCACTCGCCTGCTATAGCATGGCCTTCTAAAACCTATAAACTCCCTTTACGATGTCCCCATTTCACCTGTTCTAAAACCAGACAAGGCTTACAGGTTAGTTCAACATCTGCGCCTTAGCAACCAAATTGTTTTGCCTATCCACCCTGTGGTGCCAAACCCATATACTCTCCTATCCTCAATAACTCCCTCCACAATCCATTATTCTGTTCTAGATCTCAAACATGCTTTTTTTACTATTCCTTTGCACCCTTCATCCCAGCCTCTCTCTGCTTTCACTTGGACTGACCCTGACACCCATCAGGCTCAGCAAATTACCTGGGCTGTACTGCTGCAAGTCTTCACAGACAGCCCCCATTACTTCAGTCAAGCCCAAATTTCTTCCTTATCTGTTACCTATCTCGGCATAATTCTCATAAAAACACATGTGCTCTCCCTGCTGATTGTGTCCGATTAATCTCCCAAACCTCAATCCCTTACAAAACAACAACTCCTTTCCTTCCTAGGCATGGTTAGTGTGGTCAGAATTCTTACACAAGAGGCAGGACTGCACCCTGTAGCCTTTCTGTCCAAACAACTTGACCTTACTGTTTTAGCCTAGCCATCATGTCTCCGTGCAGTGGCTGCTGCCGCTCTAATACTTTTAGAGGCCCTCAAAATCACAAACTATGCTCAATTCACTCTCCACATTTCTCATAACTTCCAAAATCTATTTTCTTTCTCATACCTGATGCATATGCTTTCTGCTCCCCGGCTCCTTCAGCTGTACTCACTCTTTGTTAAGTCCCACAATTACCGTTGTTCCTGGCCCATACTTCAATCCGGCCTCCCACATTATTCCTGATACCACACCTGACCTCCATGACTGTATATCTCTGATCCACCTGACATTCACCCCATTTCCCCATATTTCCTTCTTTCCTGTTCCTCACCCTGATCACGCTTGATTTATTGATGGCAGTTCCACCAGGCCTAATTGCCACACACCAGCAAAGGCAGGCTATGCCAGGCACAAGCCACTAGCCCACCTCTTAGAACCTCTCATTTTCTTTCCATCGTGGAAATCTATCCTCAAGGAAATAACTTCTCAGTGTTCCATCTGCTATTCTACTACTCCTCAGGGATTATTCAGGCCCTCTCCCTTCCCTACACTTCAAGCTCGAGGATTTGCCCCCACCCAGGACTGGCAAATAAGCTTTACTCAACATGCCCTGAGTCAGATAACTAAAATACCTCTTAGTCTAGGTAGACACTTTCACTGGATAGGTACAGGCCTTTCCTACAGGGTCTGAGAAGGCCACCGCAGTCATTTCTTCCCTTCTGTCAGGCATAATTCCTCAGTTTAGCCTTCCCACCTCTATACAGTCTGATAGCAGACCAGCCTTTATTAGTCAAATCAGCCAAGCAGTTTTTCAGGCTCTTAGTATTCAGTGAAACCTTTATATCCCTTACGGTCCTCCGTCTTCAAGAAAAGTAGAACGGACTAAAGGTCTTTTAAAAACACACCTCACCAAGCTCAGCCACCAACTTAAAAAGGACTGGACAATACTTACCACTTTCACTTCTCAGAATTCAGGTCTGTCCTCGGAATGCTACAAGGTACAGCCCATTTGAGCTCCTTTTAATTAGGCCCCAGTCTCATTCCAGACATCAGACCAACTTGGACTGTGCCCCAGAAAACTTGTCATCCCTACTATCTTCTGTCTAGTCATACTCCTATTCACCATTCTCAACTACTCATACATGCCCTGCTCTTGTTTACACTGACAGTTTACACTGTTTCTCCAAGCCAGCACAGCTGATATCTCCTGGTGCTATCCCCAAACTGCCACTCTTAACTCTTGAAGTAAATAAATAATCTTTGTTGGCAGGACTATGCTGAATCTCCTTAGGCACTCTCTAATCAGATGTCCTGAGTTGTCCCAATTCTTAGACCTTTTATACCTGTTTTTCTCCTTCTCTTATTCCATTTAGTTTTTCAATTCATACAAAATTGTATCCAGGCCATCACCAATAATTCTAAATGACAAATGTTTCTTCTAACAACCCCACAATATCACCCCTTACCACAAAATCTTCCTTCAGCTTAATCTCTCCCACTCTAGGTTCCCACGCCGCCCCAATCCCGCTAAAAGCAGCCCTGAGAAACATCGCCCATTATCTCTCCATAGCACCCCCAAAAAATTTTTCACCATCCCAACACTTTACCACTATTTCATTTTATTTTTCTTATTAATATAAGAAGACAGGAATGTCAGGCCTCTGAGCCCAAGCTAAGCCATCATATCCCCTGTGACCTGCACGTACACATCCAGATGGCCGGTTCCTGCCTTAACTGATGACATTCCACCACAAAAAGAAGTGAAAATGGCCTGTTTCTGCCTTAACTGATGACATTGTCTTGTGAAATTCCTTCTCCTGGCTCATCCTGGCTCAAAAGCTCCCCCACTGAGTACCTTGTGACCCCCACTCCTGCCCGCCAGAGAACAACCCCCCTTTGACTGTAATTTTCCTATACCTACCCAAATCCTATAAAATGGCCCCACCCCTATCTCCCCTTGCTGACTCTCTTTTCGGACTCAGCCCGCCTGCACCCAGGTGAAATAAACAGCCATGTTGCTGACAAAAAGCCTGTTTGGTGGTCTCTTCACACGGACGCGAGTGAAAGTAAGAATTCTTTATTAAAATACAGTCATCACAGGACATCCATATGTCTCTGTCTCAGTCTGCCTGTCTGTCTGTCTGTCTAATCTATTTATCTTATTTGTCTATCTTTCTATGAATCTAATCTATCTATTCTATCATCTATCATCTCTCTATCATCTATCATCTATCCACGTGTTTATCCTATCTATCTCTATCTATCTATCTATCTATCTATCTATCTATCTATCTATCTATTATCTCTCTCTCTCTCTCTCCTATATCTGCTTTCAGAGGTATTGTGGGTATATTTATAGGGACTAAAATAGAAAAGACCCATATAGTATACTGTGATGCAAATCAAGTTATTCTCAGCATATAGTGTTCGGTTTGCCCTGCCTTCTTTTGGGAATTGTATCTCTCGTCTTCTGGGAACCATTCTTTCCACCACTGCAGCCATAACAGAGCTCTCATGGTTTTATCCAAAGTTGTCATTTCCCGGCTACAAAAATTAGTCCAAGGATGTCACTACTTCAGGCTGAGCCAGTCATAACCCTTCCCCAGGATTTTAAAAACTGAGCCCAGAGAGCACAAGCTCAGTACCCTTTCATGGGTGAAGCTGAGACTAGAGATATTAGGAGCTGTAGATACCTATGTTTCCAGCATGGCAGAGTCCAGACTGAGAGAATGAGCCTGGCACACAGGACTAGCACAGACTTGAAGAGAGAGACAGTCCTGGCAGTGTCTGAGTTCTTGAAGCCCAGCCTGCTCTTGTGCCTTCCCAATGGTTTGATTTTGTGAACCAAAAATTTCTTTTCATTGTTTAAGTTACAGTTGGTGGTGTCGTTGCATGTGGTCAAAGGGTCCTGACTACTTTTGATAGGTATTTGTAGGTTTTACTAGCCCATCATCTTTTTCTTCTGTTTCTAGTGACAGCACTTTGATTTTCTTTTTGTGAAGCACCTCTCTTCATTCTGGTAAATTGGATCACACAGACTCTCATATACCCACTTCTGGCTGCAAGCATGGACGTATAATCCAGACATGGCTAATAAGACTTATTCTCAATTTTAATTGGAGCTAGGGGAAAAGAGAAGCTAGAAATGTCTGGGATTATTAATTATTATTAATCAAAGAAGCTTAAGAAATAGATCCATGGCTCAGTGTAAGCTACTTTGCCTCAAGAATACATATGTGTCAAGTTTTGATATACAAAACTTTACAACTAAACTCTCTGTTCAACAAAAGGTAAGAAGAAAGGAAAAGTGATTTCTTACCTAATGAGAACCTTAAATTCACAGTTAAACTTCACAGTTTGCAAAGGAACTTGGTGAGGCTGTCAGTGTCAGGGCTGTTGCCATTAGTATCCCTTGTTGTCATCTGCAAAAAACAACATGTAGAGAGGCCAGTGATTCATCTAAGGCCAGAAACCCTGGTCTTGGACCCATGCTCTGTCTGACCCCAGAGGTCCTTCCACAACCACACTCAGCATTCCTCCAACAGGCTCTGAGGGGCTGCCCCAGTGCCCTGGGAAGACTGTGCTCTTTTTCTGAGATTTGTCATTATCTTAATGAAGAGATTCTCATAAATCATGATTCTTTCTGATGCTAAAAGTCCTCTGCCAAGCAAACACAAGTGCTTGCAACAGTGAAATCTTCAAAGTGTTGGTTCTTACAAAGACCACGAAAAAGGGTTCTCTTTCAGCTTAAACCTCCCTATACTATCTATTAAAATATAGTGAGGATTACAGAATCACATTTCAACATATAAAGTCACCTAGAAAAGTGTTTTCCCAAGACTGTTCTCCCAAGATATTCCCTGAACAAAATATATCCATTGTTTTATTAGTTTTCTACGGCAGCTGTGTAACAAATTACCACAAACTGGGTAACTTAAAACAACAGAAATTTATTCTTTCACAGCTCTGGGGGCCAGAAGTCTGAAATCAAGGTATTGGCAGTGTTGGCTCTTTCTGAGGGCTCTAAGTGACAATCTGTTTCATGCCTGTCCTCTTCTATCTACCAGTGACAGCCAGCAATCTTTGACATTCCTTGGCTTTGAGGTACATCATTCCAATCTCTGCCTCCTTCTTCCCATGGCTGTCCTCTCTGTGTGTGTCTCTTTCTTCTTATAAGGACACCAGTCATATTGGATTAAGAACCTGTCCTACTCCATATGACCTTATCTTAACAAATTACTTCTACAGTGACACCATTTCCAAGTAAGATTACATTCTGAGGTACTGGGAGTTAGGCTTCAACACATATTTTTTTAGGGGGAAACAATTCAACCCATACACTGGTCAAATATGGTTGAGAAATATTGCACACTATACAATCCTCTTTGCAAATGTGTATTAGCATATTAAAGGTTTTGAAGCCAATGAATCTGTTTGATTTTCTTTTAACCTAGCATTTCCAAAATGTGTGCAACCACACATTATTTTATTCACTTAATATCAATTAACATCCTGAGACTCAATGTTCTGAGAGGCACACCATTTGAAATGTTCATCAGGATGACCTTCAGCATATCAGAGACACTCCCCCACTTCCTAGTTGTTAATGAGAACCTCTGTGGCTGGCATGCTCAGTAGTTGGTCAGTAATGACAATATGGTTGGAAACACAGCAAAACTCTTTCCATGATGCTATAAAACCAGCATCTGTGCAGCTTCTTATAATTGACTCACTTGGCAATATGGCAAATTCATCCCAAAAAAGATGTGGGTGAGAACTTGTACTTAGGTAAATGTAAAGCCTTAAAGCCTTATCCATTGCTGGGAAAAGATAACTGGAAGAACATATCCTGTGGCTATTAGGTAAGAAGCACTATGAAACTTTTTTTCTAGTTAGAAAAGTGTGTGTGTGTGTGTCTGTGTGTGTGAGTGTGTGTGTGTATTCATCGAGGGCTGTGGTGGAGGCAGAGTGTGGGACTGAACAGTGGAGGACTATGCATTCAAACTAGGGAAACTTATTGTATTAGGATTCCCCAGAAAAACTAAACCAATAGGAGATGTGTGTGTGTGTGTGTGTGTGTGTGTGTGCGCGCGCGCGCGCACGCACGTGCACGTGCGCATGCTCGTGTGTGATTTAGATCTTTAAACTGATTAGATGAGGCCCACCCACATTAGGGATGGCAATCTACATTCCTCAGTCTACTGATTTCAATGCTAGTCTCATCCAAAAATAACCTCACAGACACATCTAGATGGAGGACTATCTCCATTTACTGACCACAGCATGACTGTGTGAAGATCTGTCTCAAGCACTTTCACACACATTGTCTTACGTTGACCTCATGTCAACCCTTAGATGTAATTTCCATTTTACAGATGAAAGAACTATGGTTAGGAGCATTTATAAAAGTAAAATTCCGTCACAAATCGAGCAGTGAAGTCAAGTTAAACTCAGGCTGGAGATCCACTGTAGCATTCTACCATCTTTCCTTGAGAGGCAAGATAGAGCAACGTGGTGAACCTCAAATCTGAGACTACCTTCTATAAGGCTTATTCTGCTAAAGGAAGCTTATTCTGCTGAGGAATTGTTGCCTTGCTTTCCTGATGGTTTCATCATTCAGGAAGTAGTGGAATGAACAAGGGACAGTGAACATTTTTAAGAGGTATTTGTTCTACTGCAGTTGATATGAATATTGCCTGCCACCCCCGGAGTTGTGCAGTATACGGCATGCAGCCCTGGGATCAGCTACTTTATTTTTTTTAATTTTTAATATAACTTATATTTTAGGTTCAGAAGTACACGTGCAGACTTGTTATATAGGTAAACACGTGTCACAGGGGTTTGAGATACAGATTATTTAGTCTCCCAGGTACTAAGCCTAATACCTAACAGTTATTTTTCCTATTCCTCTCCCTCTTCCCACCTTCCACCCTCTGGCAGGCCCCAGTGTCTGTTGGAACAGCTACTTTAAACATCATTCTTCAAATAGTAAACTAACAAATAAGGTAAAGATGATGAGAACCTTGGTAGAATAGAATCAGATTCTTAGGATTCATAGTAGCATGGTCAAAAATGGTCCCTAGACCATAATAATAACTTAATATTTACCCAGTAATGGGATTGCTGGATAATATGGTAGTTCTATTTTTAATTTTTTGAGAAAACTCCATACTGTTCTCCACAGTGGTTGTACTAATTTACATGCCATCAACAGTGTATAAGGATTTCCATTTCTCCACCTCCATGCCAGCATTTGTTACTTTTGGTCGTTTTGATAATAGCCATTGTAATTGGGGTGAGATAATTGGGGTGAGATGGTATCTCATTGTGGCTTTGATTTGCATTTCTGTGATGATTAGCGATATTGAGCATGTTTTTTCATATGATTGTTGGCTACTTGTAAGACTTTTGAGAAATTCCTATTCAGGTCTTTTGTCCATTTTAAAATCAGATTGTTTTTTGCTATTGTTTGAGGTCCTTACATCATTTGTATATTAACTCTGTGTCAGATGCATGGCTTGCAAATATTTTCTCCCACTCAGTAGTTTGTGTCTTCACTCTGTTGATTGTTTCCTTTGCTGTGCAGAAGCTTTTAATTTTGATGTAATCTCATTTGTTGATTTTTTATTTCGTTGCCTGTGCAAGAAAAAATCCTTCTCCAGACCATGAAGCATTTATGCTATCTTTCAGGTCATACATTCAAGTCTTAATCCATTTTGAGTTTTTTTTTTATAAGGTGAAAGATACTGTTCTAGTTTCATTCTTCTGTGTATGAATACTCAGTCTTCCCAGCACAACTTATTGAAAATACTCTTTCCCCAGTGTATGTTCTTGGTGTCTTTGTTGGAAATCAGTTGGCTCCGTGTGGGTTTATTTCTGTATTCTCTATTATGTTCCATTGGTCTGTATGTCTGTTTTTATGCCACTACCATGCTGTTTAGGTTATATAGCTTTGTTGTATATTTTGAAGTCAGGTAGTGATGCCTTCAGGTTTGTTCTTTTTGCCTAAGGTTACTTTAGCTATTCGGGGTCTTTTGTGGTTCCATAAGAATTTTAGGATTGTGTTTTCTATTTCTGTGAAGAATGCCATTGGTATTTTGATAGTGTTTCTATCAAATCTGTAGCTTGCTTTGGGTAGTATGGAAATTTTAACAATATTAATTCTTCTAATCCATGAATGTAGAATATATTTCCATTTCTTTGTGTCTTCTTCAATTTTGTTCATCAATGTTTTATAATTTTAATTGTAGTGTTCTTTCACCTCCTTGATTACATTTCTTCATAGGTGTTTTATTATTTTTATACCTATCGTAAACAGAATTGCTTGTCTGATTTTTTTCCCGGATAGTTTGTTATTGGCATATAGAAACACTACTGAATTGTGTGAGCTGATTTTGTATTCTGCAACTTTACTGAATTTGTTTATTAGTTCTAACAGTTTTTTTTTTGTATGAGTGGAGTCTTTAGGGTTTTCTGTATATAAGATCATGTAATCTGCAAAGAGGAGCAATTTGACTTCCTCCTCACCAATTTAGATTCCCTTTCTTTCTTTAAACTAGTTGCTCTGGCTAGGACTTTCAATACTATGTTAAATAAAAATGGTGAAAGTGGGCATCCTTATCTTCTTCCAGATATTAGAGGAAAAGCTTTCAACTTTTCCCATTTCACTATGATGTTAGCTGTGAGTTTGTTATATATGGCCTTTATTGTGTTGAAGTGTGCTTCTTTTATGCCCCATTTGTTGAGTTTTTAATCATGAAGGGATGTTTTCTCAAATGATTTTTCTGTGCTTATAGAAATGATCATATGGGTTTTGTCTTGTTTACTTTTGTGGTTTTGTGGATTTTTATAGTGCTAAGCTTTGATTCCTTTCTCTTTCTCATTTGTGACTCTGCTGCATTTTTTTCATGATTGCCCTGAGGCTTACATTAATAAATATTATAGTTATAGATGACTATTTTAATCTAATAACAACTTAATTTTGGTAGCATATAAATATTCTAGACTTTTACCCTCCCAGCCACACTGGTAATTTTTTTTTGCTTTAATTTACATATTTTTATATTGTGTAATCCTTAACAACTAATTTTAGGTATGGTTATTGTAGACCATTTTGACTTTCACCTTCATACTAGAGATTTAAAGATTATATCTCATCATTAAAGTAATAGAGTATTCTGAATTTGATTATGCGTTTACCTCTACCAGTGAGTTTTACACTTTTGTGTGATTTCATGGTAGAAATTAACATCTTTTTGTTTCTAACTGAAGCACTCCCTTAAGCATTTCTTGTAGGGCTAGCATAGAGGTGATGAATTCTCTCAGCTTTGGCGTGTCTGGGAAAGACTTTTTTCCTCCTTCATTTCAAAATGATAGCTTTACTGGGTATAGTATTCTAGGATGGAAGTTTCTTTTTCTCCTTCAGCACTTTTAATGTATTATTCCATTCATTCTTTCTTGGCCTGCAAGGTTTCTGCTGAGAAATCTGCTAATAATCCAATGGGAATTCCCTTATATGTGAGTTGACACTTTCTTTTGATGCTTTGAAAACTCTCGTTGTGTTTGATTCTGACAGTTGATTATAATATGCCTTAGAGGGGACCTATTTGGGTTGAATATAATTGGGATCCTTTGGGCTTCATAGATCTGGATATCCGTATTTCTCTAAAGACATGGGACATTTCCAGCTATTATTTTGTTAAATAAACTTTCTGTGCCTTTCTCTATCTGTTTTCTTCATGAAAATCCCATGATGTAAATTTTTGTTTGCTTAATGGTTTCTCGTAAGTCTTGCAGGATTCTTTTTGTTATTTTTCATTCTTTTTTCTTATTTCAAAACTGACTTATTTCAAAAACCCTGTTGTAAGTTAAAAAATTCTTTCTTCTGCTTGATCTAGTCTGCTGTTGAAGTTACCAACTGTATTTTTAATTTTTTATTGAAGTCTTCAGTCCCAAGATTTGTTTTTTAAATTGATATTTATCTCTGTTAAATGTCTCATTCAGATAATAAATTGTTTTTCTGATTTGTTGAATTGTCTATCTGTGTCCTCTTGTATCTTGCTGAGTTTCCTTAAGTTCATTATTTTTAATTTATAAACTACGATTTCTTTGGGGTCAGTTACTAGAGAATTACTGTGTTTCTTTGATAAAATCATGTCTCATTGATTTTTCATGTTTCTTGTATCCCTGCATTGATAATATCTGTGTGTCTGGTGGAACAATCACCTCTTCCAATTTTATAGGGTAGCTATCATAGAAAAAAATTTTTGCTTGTTGTCTTGTCCTAGGGTGTTGGTTGGGTAAGGTGCATTGTCTTTGGTTCCTGGTGTGTGTAGTGTAACACCTGTGCAGTTTCTTCAGCAGTATTAAATGTCAGTGATGCCTGTGAGTGCCTCAGTGGCCTAGGCTGGAGGAGTTTGTGCAGCTGCTCTGCTGAGTCAAGCCTGGCTCTCCCACTGGGGTTAGGGGTGCTGGCTGTTCTCTGTGATAAGTGTGCAGGGGATGCTCTGCTTGGTCAGGTGTTGTCTCCCAACTGGGGACAGGAGTGCCAGGCTATTCCTCATGCCAAGGGTACATGGGAGCTGTTTTGCTGGATTGGACACAAGTCTCCATACTGGGGAGAACTGCTTGTTTTCTAGGGGACAGGACATTACATGAGCTTAGGTGCCAGAATTATGACTGTTCAGCTGGACTTAGGCTCTGAGTAGCTGGGTTTGGGGTACTGCAGCCATTAGGATGGGGAAGATGGAGTGCCTCCTAGGTAGTTTATTCCCAGTGTGTATGAAGCTGTAACTACTCCACTGGGGAATAGTGTTACCATGTATATCTACCATGTGGTGGCAACAGAGCCTCAGAGATGGAAAGATGCACTACCTACTGGCCCCTAGAGCAAAATCTGCTTTGGAAGTGGCTCTGGTTTCACAATGGGGCTTGAATCATGTGAGAGAGGAGAAGGGGAACAACATGAACGTCTTTTTTGGAGTAATGCATCCACGTGAACTCCAGACGGCTTACTAGACTGGTCTCAGGGCCTACGAGGACTACAGGGTTTTCGAGCAGTGAAGATTGTAGGTGTCTGCAGCTTTAATGGGGACAGTTGGAGGTCCCCTGCTTACCCTTTTCTCACAGGGAGAGTATCTCCTGGTCCCAAGCTGATCCCAACTGGGAAGACAGAGTGGCAAAGGCAGAGTGGGCTTTTTTTCCCCCTTTTAATGTGGGCATCCTGAATCTCTGCTCCCCAGAGTGTCTGCCACTCGCCTGCTGTACTCTAACCCTCTCCTTCAGATACTCTAGTCAAAACGTGGTTGTTTATTAATTGTTTTGGGTCCATTTTGTGTAAGGGGATGAATGTTAGGCACCTTTAGTAGGCCACATTGTTGACATCACTCCAGAATATTCTGTATCCCTTATAAGACTAATGTGATATAAAGTTTGATTCATGAGCACTCAAAAATCCACAAACATTATGAATTAATAAATCAATCAGAATTTCATCATAAAAGTTTCCATTGATAAGAATAATAATTTTTTCTTCAGTAAATGAGGTATGGCATGGGCTTACCTCACCCGGGGTCTGTTCCAGAAGTCTAAGAATTTGAATACTTTGTTTAGTCTTTTATTTCTTCACATTCATTTTGGGAAAAATTCCCTGAACTATAATTTTTAAAAAGTGAGAGGTGGGCTTGTCTTTTTAGACTATAGTCCTGGTTTAGATTTCCTCGATTTAGATGATTTTAAAAACCTTAACTGGAAAAATGTAAAGCTGTTCTCTCCTAGTTGAGTGTCTCTTATCACATAATGGTTATGTGACGTTGAGCAGGTTAGCTGGCTGAGCCTTAGTTTTGTGATCCATAAAATGAGAATATTACCTTTGTGGATACGATGTTTCAGGCAATTAAATGAGATGATGTAAGTAAAGTGCTTAGCATAGCATATAACCAAAGTGAAACCTCATTTATTCTCATTGAAGAAACTCTCCTGATTTGTCAGGTGAAGCCATGTTGTTTCTTCCCTTTTTAAAACATACTAGTGGGTGCCCAGGGCATGCTGAATGCTCATGATTAGAAGTTGCTCAAGATGGTGTGGTCAAGGACCAACAGCAGTTGGCATCACCTCCACGATCATCTGGTGATAGTAACCCAAACTCAGACCTGCTAAATAGGAGTCTGCATTTTAACAATCTCCAGGTGATTCATAATCACTAAAGTTTAAGTGATTCATAATCACTATTACAAGTATACCTGCATAACAAGTACTTGTTCTCAAGTCATTTGATACTAGTTACTCTTGCTTTTGTAATTACATAATTTAACTAAATATCACATGAAGCTAATAAGAGTGTGAAAAGAGAGTTGTGTTTTTCTGAGAAAATTAAGTTAAATTCTTTGGAACAACAATGATGAGTGAGTTACAAAAATTGTTGTTGAATTAAGGATGAGTGAGACAACTTTAAAGATTGGAAAATGCTAAAAATATATATGAATATTACTCTTTAAGTTCTTCTCTTGCATGTTTTGCTTCTGGACTTTAACTTAAAGAAATTTAATAACATTTAGTCATTGGCTGGTGCCACCTTGAGAAGAGTGTACACTCAGCTTAAAAAATGGGTACTGAGTAGCCAGTACTTTCTGAGAGGGGTAAGAAAATGACACTCTCCATGTCTGTCAAAACCCCAGTCTGTGTTCTTTTAAATATGTAAACCTGGGGATACAAGCTTGGTATAAATAAACAAGCCTAGGAGACCAATGTCTCACTGACTTTGTTGGATGAAAACCGCTGCCAGTGCAAAGACTTTGAACATCCTGGGTGCAAAAATGATTTATAAATTTTAATGATGGTGCTTGGAACTTGGCAAACAATCAATTATGCACAGCAATCTCTATAAATATAGTCATCAACAGTCATCCCCAGAGCTGTGAATTAGTTCCTATTTTCAAATTATTGTGAATTTGCTAACTAATCAAAATTCTGAACACAAACGGGCTTATTGCAGATACATGATGCATACTAAGCCACCAGGGAAGTATCTGAGTGGGCTTAGTAATATGTCTTCCACCACTTGTATTAAATTTTACAAACTAAAAACAGCCAATAAAGAGAAATGTTTTTCTGAAGCATCTATGTATATCTCAAGCTTTGGCACGTAAAGACAAGCTGACTTGGCAAAAGAAGTGAGATTTAGAGTCTGAAAGCCTGTGTTTGAGGCTGGCCTCTGTCATTTAGTTCCTGACTTAATGTCATTAGGAAATTGGTAATGACCATATTATCTGCTGGAAGCTTGGGAAGGAAAAGGGAAGTTGATTTGCTGATTTCTTACAATGAGTCAGTGATGTTATTATATTTACATATGACTAATTTAATTCTCAAAAATGCTGAGAAAATTAGACATTATCTTCATTTAACAGATGGGGAATATGATATGCAGTTACTAATGGCAGAGGTAAATTTGAACCAAATTCTATTCAATAATAGAAGCTGTGTTCATTTCATTATACGAAACTGCCTACAAATAAGAAGTTTGTGAAACTCATATACATGTAAGTTAGTATTATAAATAGAATGTCAAAATGTGTCCCATTTTTAACTGAGACTACAATGGCCAAGAACAATATGTTAGGTGTCTAATATCCCTACAGAATGTCCTAAAGCAAGGTGTTAGCCCACATTGGAAGTCCCAAAGTATTGTAAATATGTTTTCCCAATACTGTTGTATCATGCACTTTGAAGCACTTAAAGGATTGAAGTAAAGAGGCCTGAAGCGAAAGGATTTCTTTGGAGAGTTGTAAATATTCAACAATCCCCAACTTCCCCTTTTCTCCACCAATGGCATAAGGAAGGCGATGTCTTCCTCTTCATCATAAACCAGAGTAGAAGTGCTGAAAAGAGGCTCTTTGAGAGGAGAGAAGCTGATATGCTGAAAGAAGCGTGAGAAAACAGAGATCAGATGTCTACCACAGAGCCCGTAATTGTGAGACAGGTTGAAGCTGCCCTGCCTTAATGGCAGGTAGAGAGGGTTTCTGGGCTTGCATTCAGTGGGGCAAAGATGAATGCTCTCCAGGGATCAAATGTGAACTTAGTGAAGGGAAGCCAGCCTGGAATGAAGAGGTGACCTTACCAGAGGACCTACCAGAAACTGTAGGTCCTATACATCCAGAATGAATAAAGACAGATCACAGATATAACTACCATGTAAGACTACTTTTTTCTCTCCTAATACTGCCATCCCTACGCCTAACTCTGGAGGAGTCAGAAACATCAGCTAGAGTGTGGGGAAGAAAAACTGACCAGCCCTATCTCCCCTATCTCCACTGTAGTTTTCTCTGCTGGAGTCTAAAGGGGGAAAAGGTTTTAGGTTGAAAGAATTTCGGAGTTACGTGCTAATTACACTCTCTTAAACATTTTAATTCCAGAAATGAGATTGTTCTTGTGAATGCAAAGGTGCCTTCCCCAGACATTATCAGGCAGTGTGGAAGAACCAGTTTACAAAATGAGTTTAAAGGAAATGATGAGAATGAATGAAAGTGCTTGTGATTTCTCCCTCAAGAGGTGAGATCATTCACACACCAGCTTTACAATTATCCAAAGTGTGGACTTGCCAATGGTCCTCATTCACACTCACTAGGTTGTGGTTGATGTTAAAGGTCAGGTGGTTGAGGTTTCTTGGTGTGGAATTAGAGATCTGGAAGAAATCTTTATGATCTTTCAATATCTAGCACCCAGCACACTGCCCCACATCTTACAATATCAAATGTTCCATCAACACTTGTTGAATTGAATGTAGTCCAAAAATCTTCATTTTACAGATTCAGAAAGTGATGTTCAGAAAGGTGAGGTGGCTTGACTAAGGTTGGATAACTAGTCAGAAACATAATTGAGACTGTCTTTCAGGCCATGATCCCCTTATTACATCTCCATTCTAGTGTAAGCTGCTTCAAAAAACCCAGTTATGAGTCTGAGTAGGCTAGGTTATATTGCTGTAACAAATTAGCTTACAAAATATGGATTTAACACAATAAAGTTCTTATTTTCTTGCATGTCCCACATGGCTGATGCTGGCTAGGTGAGGGCTCTGCTGCAGGGAAGCCAGGTTGTCAGAGGCTCTTCTGCCATCTTACGTTGCTGTGACTTCTATAGTTGCTACAGCAGAGAGAGCAATGAATAAAGCACACTTTTTACACTCTCTGGAACTAGAAGTGACACACATCATTTTCTACACTCAGGCCATTGGCCAGAATAAGCACATAGTGCCATTACTTGCAAGGAAGCTGGGAAATCTTCCCATGTGCCCATGACAGAAAGAATAACTGGATATAACGAAGCTGGTACTGCTATCACACGCAGAAATTAAAACTCATTTTAACCTTTGTTTTCTTGTTTATTGACCCAAACTCAGAAATGGTCTCTGTCAATCGTAAGGTCACATAGGAGGACTGCTGATGGATGGTCAAGCCAAAATATCTCTTTAAAAGCTTTTGGTATGCCATGTATAAACTCATACTTGCTTAAGAAATTTCTGCAAAACAGATATTGCAGCCACATATTAGAGCAATCTGGTAAAGCAGTCTGTAGTGCTGACATGGTAAAAGAAAGTCCTGTGATGAGATATTTTGTTAACAGGTGTTATGTGTTTTTTGAAATGAGGATTTTCCAATAAAAAACAAGCCCCATATTCCCAATAACTGAATTATCTCCTAGCAGGAAGATCACACTGCTTTCATAAATAACATATCCTCACAATGAATAGTTTCATATAAAAAATGTCAAATACTCAAGTTCAGAGAAAGAGTGGAGCTTGGTGGCATATGTTGGTCACATGGCTTCTCAAACTAGTTCTCAAAAATCCATGTTTTTGTCACCATCCCTAGATATTCTAATTCCAGAGACTTGGAATGGGGTCTAAGAATCTGTATGTTTCATAAGCACATCAGCGATTGTGCTGCATGTGGTCCTCGGCGTCCACTGAGAAACACTGGTATATAAAGAGCACAGGTTATGGAGTCAGACTTAGAATTTTGGCTCCACCACTCACAACCAGTGTGACTTCATGTTTCTATATTTGTACAACCACTTATAGGTTCTTGTAAAGATTAAATGAAATAATATATGTACAATGACTGGCACACAGTAGGCCCTTGAAAAATGCTAATTCTCACACACAATAAAAAATATATACCTGTTTAGCTCACCTTTGTTGCCATTTGGGAGAGTAATTATGTCTTATCCCCTCAGTATAGGAAACTCAGCACCACCTGAAAAACTGCCTAAGTCTTCTTTTTCCTTTTGTGACTAGTTATATTTTCCCACAAAAATGCTAATGTGAAATTAACTTTTATATTTGCTAAAACTACTAGAAACTAGAAATAAATCCTTAAAAAGTCAAGATATACTTTATGTTCCTCCAAAGTATAGGGGCATTTTTTAGCCTACCAGGTTTCAACTATTAATATTAACTTTCATCAGACTTTTTCCCCTACAGGAATATTGAATGCAAGGTTCAATATGCCTTTGAGAACCATGTTTACATGTTGAAAATACTATTCAGAAGTTTATTTGATTTTAAAACTAATATTCAACTCATTAAAGTTATAAATTTAAAAGTCCAGTTTTTCTTTGTGCATTTAACTTCAGTTTAAAAATCTCATTATTCTATTCTTATGTCTACCAAATTTTAACAACTAATTTTAGAGGGCTTTATATAATGTTTGATCTCATTTATAACCTTAAACAACCTCAATATTTTAAACTGCACATATAAAATAAATGTATTCGATTTCTCTTTTATCTGACTCATCTAAGCAAATCTATTATGGAGCAATTTAGCTTATAAATGTAGTTATTCTAAATTTCCCTAAACATTTATACAGTATATATCAACTCAGCAAGACTTCCACTAACAAGTTCAAGTCTAAATCAGTTAGTACAAACTTTGAATTGAAATCACAAGGTTAACCTGTCACTTAAAAATATTTATTTTATTGTAGTAAGAATGCTTAACATGGGTAGATCTCTACCCTCTTAATATATTTTTAAAGTACACAATACAGTATTATTAACTATAGGTACTATGTTGTACAGCAGACCTATAGAACTTACTTACCTTCTATAACTGAAACTTTATGCCTGTTGATTGGCAACTCCCATTTCCCCTTCCCCTCAACTTCTGGTAACCACTATTCTACTCTCCGACTCCATGAGTTTGATTATTTTAGATACTTCATATAAGTGCAATCATGAGCTACTTGTCCTTCTGTCACTGGCTTATTTCACTTAGCATAAAGTTTTCAAATTTCATCCCTGTTGCTAAATGTTGCAAAATTTCTTCCTTTTTTAAGGCTGAATATTATTCCTCTGTATTATTAATAATTAATGCTACATTTCTTCATCCAGTCATCCACTAATGGACATTTAGGTTGTTTCCACAACTTTGGGTATTGTGAATAGTGCTGCAATTAATATAAAACTGCTAATAGCTCTTTGAAATCCTTATTTTCATATTTTAATTTTAAATTTTTTATTCATTTTAATTGACAAATACAAATTGTGTATATTTATCATGTACAACATGATATTTGAAATATGCATATATTTTAGAGTGGCTAAATTGAGCTAATTAATATAGACATCTCACATCCTTTTTTAAAGTGGTGAGAACACTTAAAATCTACTGTCTTAGCAATTTTCATGTTTTGAAATACATGTATTTTTATGCCTTGAAATACAATATATTGTTATTAACTATAGTCACCATGTTGTGCCACAGATCTCTTGAAATTATTCCTCCTGTCTAACTAAACTTTGGTATCATTTAACCAACATCTCCCCAACAGCCTCCCCCAACCGTTACCATTCTACTCTCTTTAAGATCAACTTTTTTGGATTCCACATATCAGTGAGATCATGTGGTATTTGCCTGGCTTATTTCATTTAACCTAATGTCCTCCATGTTCATTCATGTTGTTGCAAATGACAGGAATTTCCTTTTTTAAAAAGGCTGAATAGTATTCCATTGTGTATATATACCACATTTTCTTCACCTGTTCATCCTTGGCTATTGTGAATAATGCTTCACTGAACATAGATGTGCAGATATCTCTTTGACATACTGACTCCATTTCCTTTGGTAGTACCCACTAATGCTTTTGCTGAGTCATATGGTAGTTCTATTTTTAATTTCTTTAAGAACCTCCATACTAGTTTCCCTAATAGCTGTACTAATTTACATTCCAATAGTATGCAAGGGTTCCCTTTTCATCATCCTTGCCAATGTTTACCTTTCATCTTTTTGATAATAGCCCTTCTCACAGGTGTAAATTCATAGCTCATTGTGGTTTTATTTGCATTTCTCTGATGATTCATGATGTTAAGCAATTTTATCTGCTTGCCATTTGTATGTCCTCTTTTAAGAAATTTCTATTCGGGTCATTTGCCCATTTTTAATCAGATTATTTGTTTTCTTGCTATCAAATTGTTTGAGTTCCTCATATATTTTGGATATTAATCCCTTGTCAGATATATGATTTGCAAGTATTTTTTTTCCCACTCCATAAGTTGTCTCTCCTGTGTGTTGACTTTCTTTTTCTGTGCAAAAGCTTTTTAGTTTGATGCAACCCCAACTGTTCAGGTTGCTTTTGTGTTAATATCCAAACAGAAAAATCATTGCCCAGATCAATGTCATAGGGTTTTTCCCTATGCTTCCTTCTAGTAGTTTTACAGTTTCAGATTGCACATTTAAAACTTTAATCTATTTTGAGTTGATTATTGTATACAGTGTGAGATAGGATCAAATTTACAATAACTACAAAAAATATTCAGGAATGAATGTAACCAAGGAGGTGAAAGACCTGTACACTGAAAACTTAATAGTTTTCAAAAATAATTTCATGAAAAGTAATTTCATGAAAAATAATTTCATTTAAAAATTAAAGAAGACACAAATAAATGGAAAGATAACCCATGTCTATGAATTGGAAAAGATAATATTGTTAAAATTTACATATTTCCCAAGGCAATCTACAGATTCAAACCAATCCTTGTCAAAATTCTAATGACACATTTTCATAGAAATAAAAAAAAATCCTAAAATACGTATGAAACCCCCCAAAACCCCAAATAACCAAAGCGATCCTAAGCAAAAAGAACAAAGCTAGAAACATCACACTATCTAATTTCAAGATATACTGAAAAGTTAAAGTAATCAAAACAGTATTGTACCAGCCTAAAAACAGACATATACACTGATGGAACAGACCAGAGAACACAGAAATAAATCCACTCATTTATGGCCAATTAATTTTGACAAAGATGCCAAG